>NW_025791815.1:0-189707 GCF_000001405.40 Homo sapiens
GATCAACTGGGGTCATCCGGGTGGGCCCCAGGTGGCATTGCAAGGTTCGCACAAGACGGAGACTTGACATGGAGGAAACCATGGACCACGGAGGCAGAGAGCACCATGAAGAGGCTGTCCACGAAGGTCAGAGCGATGTGGCCGCAAGCCAAGGAGTGCACGGCCGCTGGGAGCCAAGAGAAGCCAGCAGGACCTTCTCCAGGGCCTCAGAGGGGCCCCTTGGCCTAGTGATGCTGGTTTCAGACTCCTGCCCTCCAGACCGTGAGCATGCGTTTCCGTTGTTTAAAATCACCAAGGCTGTGGCCATTTGTCACAGCAACCCCAGGAAGTCCACAGAATGGGAAAGGAGACGGGAGAGGAGGATGGCTGGGCTCAGCTGTCAGGCTGGGCTGTGCGGGGCTCCCTTGGGTGGTGGGGAGGAGCCTCTGAAAGGGAGCTCAGGGAGGGGCTGCCCATGGAGAAAGCACTGGGTGGAGAAGCTGTCGGTCAATTATCTGGTGATTGCACCTGCCTGTTGCCAGTCACAGTCTTCCTCCAGGAGGGGTCACCGACCACGGGCCACATCCACTCCTCTCTGCTGCAGGAATCCTGTCCCTGCTAAAGCTGATCCTGGCTTTATCTGCCCTTTGCAGAGGTGTGGGGCTTTGGCCCTCCACTGGGCACCGCACAGCGTGGGAGCCCCCTCCCCCTGGCCCCTGCGGTGGGGTCGGCTGAAGCACTGGGCTGGTCACTCGGTGGAAAAGGACACAAGTTCCCCTTGGGGCCCAGAGGCTGCACATCCGTCCTTCCAGGACTGGGCCTAAGGAATTAAATGGCTGTGAAAACAGGGGCACTGTGAGCCCCAGAGTCGGGCCATGTCATCTGAGGATGATGGTGGCAGCAGCAAAGCTCCAGATGTGGACACAGTCCCTTCACCTACCGGGGCTGCACTTCCTCCGGTGCCACAGCCAGGCCAGGCGCCCTCCCTGAGGGAATCCGCGGGTCCCGATGGCCTCTGGGGTGAGACACTGGGACGTGCCTGCAGAGCAGCAAACACTCTCTGGGCCTCACACCCTCTTCCCGGCTGCACAGCGGCACCCCCAGGGGCCTGCCCCTGCTCAAAGCCAGCCCCACCGCCCAAGGTCTGGACCTGCCTGCCCTGCAGGTGGGGCTCAACTTCCTCGGGTTTTCTGCTCCCAGGTGATTTTCCTCCCTGCAGCCAGGGCTGAGCACCTCGGCCAAGTGGCTCTTTGCTTTAAGAAGAGAGGGAATCTCCCAGCCGCCAGCCCATTGAGGCTCCCTGCACAGGACGGGACTCAGCGCCGCGGCGGTGGCATGGCCGTGCCGGGCTGTGCTGTGACCTGAGGCCTCGTCCGTGATGACCACGTCCTCGCAGAGCCTGGGGGCAGGGCCGGGGGGTGGTCAGATGCGGTGGAGCCTGTGCCCTGTGCATGACCGAAGCCACAAGCATCAAAACAGCTACATTCATGCTGAAGAGGACATTTATTTTTATTTTTGAGACGGAGTCTTGCTCTTTCGCCCAGGCTGGAGTGCAGTGGTGCGATCTTGGCTCCCTGCAACCTCCGCCTCCCGGGTTCAAGTGATTCTCCCACCTCCGCCTCCCAAGTAGCTGGGATTACAGGCACGTGCCACCACGCCCAGCTAAATTTTTTGTATTCTTAGTAGAGACGGGGTTTCGCCATGTTGGTCAGGTTAGTCTCGAACTCCCAGCCTCAAGTGATCCCCCCTCCTTAGCCTCCCAAAGTGCTGGGATTATAGACGTTAGCCACCGTACCCAGCTGGCAAAATTTCTAGGTGAAATAATAAAATAAAATAAAAATAGTGGTCGGAAATCTGTCTCCTGAGACAGAAGTGTCTGATTTTCTATAACTCAGTTAAAAGTGGTGCCAATAGAAACGCAGTTACGACGTCAATACCGGAAGGCCAGGAATGCCGCGTGGTGAAGAAAGTGGGTCCAGAGGCCCTCCCTGACCTTGGTGTGCTCGGCCTGGACATGCCTGTCACTGTTGATGAACAGCAGGTGCAGATGTGTGTGCCGCCCTGACTGGGGTCTCGGGGAGGCGCGGCGCCGTCCCACTGCCTAGAACCGGCTGGTGTGTGTTTTTGTTTATCTGCCCACAGCTCCTGGTTGAACAAATTCTCTGGTTTCATTTTTCCCATAACAAAATGAGCTTTCTCAGTAATGACAAAAGAAAACTTATGTTCTGAGGCACGGAAGCCTCCATAAAGGAGGGGAAAGTGCCCCTTATATTCCAGGGCACCCTTCAGTGGCCTGGAGGAGCCCTGCCTCCCTGGAGCCGTGCGCTAGGTCGGGCTGTGTGGCTGGGGCAGGCGTGCTTCCCATCCACCCAGCTCCAGCAGCTCCAGCTCCTGCAGGACGCACATCTGGCCCCATCTGCATTCTCTCACCAAAGCCTTCCACCAGAACCTCCCACCCACTCTGGAGCCCCTTCTCTCCACTGCCAGAGCCAAGGAGGCGGCCGCAGGAGTCATTCTGGGGGTCAGAAGCTGACCTCTGCTCTATTCCCTCTATTCCTTCGGGGATTTTGTGACCATGGCCAAGTCATGGTGGCAGGACCTCAGCTCCCCTGTGTGCACCTGGGGTTGGCGTCATAGACCGTCTCCATGGCCTGCCAGCCCCAGTAGGTTTGTAACCGCATCTGAGGCCACTCGTGGCTTGATAAAGAAGAAAGAGACAGGCCGAGGGAGGGAGGTGGAGGTGAGGGTGGCGATGAGATGCGTTGGGGAGATGCAGAAGGAGCTAGAGAGGGAGGTAGTGAGGGGGAGTGGAGCAGGGCAGAAGCTGGGCAGATCCACCCAGCCCAGCACCCCTGCCCAAGGGAGTGCGGGAGCCTGGGTGGGGAAGAAGTGTGGGAGGAACAGGGGAGACCCTGACTTCATGCCGCTCGCAGGCAGGGCCCTCCCTGTTGGTGAGGGGGTGCTTTTAGGCAGGTGTTCCTGGTCGGGGGAGGCCAGTCTAGATCAGAAGAGCAGGCTTGACCCCTCCTTGGCCTTTAGCAGTGCCTTGAGGCCGAGTGAGGGTCCTAGGCTGGTGGACGTGGCTCTCGAGAGGCCTGTGGACTGATTCCACCACACGTGGCTGCCTCTCCGTGAGCCGCACGGGCAGCGTGCTAGGCCTGCGTGCCTCGCCGGAGGGAGGGCTGAGTCGCACTGGCTGGGACATGGGAAACACGCCACCCAGCCACGCCAACTCCGAGGCAGACGAATGCCACTTTCTGCATGATATTTCCCCCAGATGTCCGCATCTTTCCCCCAGATGTCATCAGTGCCTGCTTCCCTCCCTGTGGAGGGCTCTGAGGGCCGACCCCCAAAGTCCATCTTTCCCCCAGATGTCATCAGTGCCTGCTTCCCTCCTTGTGGAGGGCTCTGACGGCCGACCCCCAAAGTCCATCTTTCCCCCAGATGTCATCAGTGCCTGCTTCCCTCCCTGTGGAGGGCTCTGAGGGCCGACCCCCAAAGTCCATCTTTCCCCCAGATGTCATCAGTACCTGCTTCCCTCCTTGTGGAGGGCTCTGACGGCCGACCCCAGGGTGGGAGAGGGCCAGCCCCCCAGCAGCAGGAGCAGTTTAAACTGCGGGTAAGTGTGCTCCAGGGGCCCTGGTTCTGCAGAGCCACACGCCGAGGCTCCTGAGCTATGTGAGGAATCCAGGGTGCAGCTCACTGCGTGTCGCCCAACTGCCCTGGGAACCGGCACTGCAGGGTCAGGTGCATCCCTTTCCATGTGAGCTCCTGGCCAGCCCAGGCAGACAGGGGAGGCCACACAGCTTCCAGGCAGGCAGCGGCTGGGCCTGAGCTGGCCCATACCTGCCGGGCTCCTGTCCCACCGGCTGTGTCCGGCCAGCCAGGGCTGGGGACATACACACCTGAGCTGCTCTCAGGAGCACTTTTACTGGAACCTCGAGGAACCTCAACCTCCTTGTTTCTAGGTTGCAGCTCCATTACGTGCTCTGCAAGTGAAAGATGCTGAGGTGGACACTAACGTCGGGAGGGAAGCCTAAACATTGACGTCATCTGTGCAAAAAGTCAGGAGCATCCACAGGTCCACTCTGTCCCGGACACGTTCTCAAAGTCAGGAGCATCCACAGATCCACTCTGTCCCGGACACGCTCTCACGCTCTCTCCGGTTTGACTTTGCAATAACACAGCCCACGAGGGTCACCGTGACCTTGAAACAGTCCTGGCTACTTTAAAATTAGCTGCCCCTAGGAGCATGGAAGATGATTCATCCCGTGACAAATCTTGCCTTATGTCTCTTTTAAACACACACATCTGGGTATCAGGCAGCCTCACGGGGGCAGCTTGGTTGTGCTGGAACTCAGCCTCATTGACTCCGGTTTCATGTGCACAGAAACTGACTTTGAAACTTGCAGGAAGAGGCTGTCCTGGAAGAAGCTGCAGCCTGCAGAGACGGCCCTGGGCTTCCTGCATCGCTCCCTTCCTGCCACGGGGCTGTGCCAGGAGCTTCCATGCAGCTCTCACACACAAGGCAGGTCCCCAGCTGGCTCTCTGCAGAGCCTGACCTGAGGCACCCATTCGATGAGAGCAGGTTCTCTCAGTGTAGAACCCAGACCAGCAGAAGCCGCATCACAGGGACGCTTCAGAGACGCACTGCTCAGCCCAGAACTGCCAGGCCTGGCAGCCGGGGTGCGGGGACCCTGGGACCCTGATGTTGTGTGAGTTCAGGAAAAACAGCGTTGCCTTCCTGAATGCTGTTCCATTTACTTCTAGCTCCTACGTGTTTCTTCAAGTAAAACACAGTCGAGCCTCATTATTCATGGGCAAATTTGCCTACTTACTAGCATTTACCCTAACCCAGATTCAATACTCAGGGCACCTCCACGGTCATTGGTGGACGTCACAGCGTCACAGCAATGAGACGTGAGTTTCCTGACACGGTGTCTGGGCGGGGGCAGAACGAGCCATGCTTTGGTGTCTCGTTTGTGTGTGCGTGAGTGTGTGAATGTGGGAGTATGTGAGTGTGTGTTCATGTGTGTGTTCGTAAGCGTGTTCTCACCTCAACACTAACAACCCTGACTGGCATGTGATGGCAGCCTCATGGGGCTCCAAGCCCATGTGTATGGGCTCCCTGTCTGTGCTGGAAGGTTCTACAGCAAAAATCAGCCCCTGCTCACCAGAGGCAAACTGAGCATGAAAGGAAATGAAAGACGTGAACTTTAATGCCTCTCATGTGCCGGGAGAACGAGGTCACACAGCAAATCACGGCTCTTGGGAATCAGGATGTGTTTGAAAACTTCAGGGGCTCTGAGCCCTCATGAACCCAACCGATGGGCAAGCAGCCCAGGCCCAGGCTGGAGATGGGGATGGGGCTGGCCATGGTCCCTGCCAGGAGCTGGAAGCCACTCCCGCCCCTCCTGCTCTCTCCATGTCCACTGGACACTGTCCCTGGTCCTGGGAGAAGAGGGAAGGCCTCTCAGCCTCCACTGGAGGGACTGCTGGGCGAGCCTGATCTACACCACAGCACTCCCCACCACAGGAGCGACTTCACTGACCCCAAGGGGGACACTTCCCTTAAAAGGATCATCCCACACTGACCCTTGTCTTGGGAATCCCAAGTCGGAGGTCACGTCAGAGGCAGGAATCCAGGCTCAGGGACATCTGCCCTGTCCCCAGAGGTCTTTGTTGTCCGAAGCCCTGCATTCTCTGGCTCTAAGGAATTCTGAAGCTATTTTGGACACTGCAGCCCTTCCCAGGGTGGCCAGAAGAGGACAGGCAGGCTTGCTTGGGGTGGGAGGAAGCCGTGGTCCACACTGGAGCATAGAAACCAGCCCTGTAAGCCACCCTGCTGGCCTCACAGGTTGTAGGGAGCAAAGGCCGTGTTGAAGCCCAGGAGCCCCTCAGGAAGGAAACCCCTCAGACTAGGGAACATGGGGAGTGGGCAGCCACTCCTCCCCACCCTCAGGCCCATAAGCTGCACTCCCCACAGTCCCCAGGTTCATCCACAGGGAGGCCCCAGCAGGAAGGCAGGGCCAGGGCGCAGGGCGAGGTCGGGGGAATGGACTCCCCTGGGTTTCTCCCTGCCGATCGCTGTAGTGGTTGAGTCCTCCACTGAGCACAGCCACTCCTGTAGGCTTACCCCGCTGCAGCTCGCTCTCGGATCCTAATAAACAAGTGAGTCCTCCACTGAGCACGGCCACTCCTGTAGGCTCACCCCACTGGAGCTCGCTCTCGGACTCTAATAAACAAGTGAGTCCTCCACTGAGCACGGCCACTCCTGTAGGCTCACCCCACTGGAGCTCGCTCTCGGACTCTAATAAACAAGTGAGTCCTCCACTGAGCACGGCCACTCCTGTAGCCTCGCCCTGCTGAACCACTCCTGTAGGCTCACCCCCACTGGACCACTACTGTAGGCTCACCCTGCTGGAGCACCCTCTCGGACTCTAATAAATGAGTTAGTAGCCCTGGGCACTGTACGTCCTGTGTTGAGTTCCACAAACCCTGCCTTTGCCTTTGTAAATCATCTCCTTTTTAAAGTCTTCACAGAGTATCAATTCTGACTATGCCCTCTGCTTCTTTGTGTGTCATGTTTTTGAAATCTTTTCCAAACACACCCTCTAAAAGAGAGCCACTTACCATTTTTTTCTTCTCTTTTTTTTTTTTTTTTTTTTTGAGACTGAGTCTCACTCTGTCACCCAGGCTGTAGTGCAGTGGTGCGATTTTGACCCACTGCAAGCTCCACCTCCCAGGTTCAAGTGATACTCTTGCCTCAGCCTCACGAGTAGCTGAGACTACAGGGACCTGCCAACACGTCCAGCTAATTTTTGTATTTTTTGTAGAGACGGGGTTTCACTGTGTTAGCCAGGATGGTCTCGATCTCCCGACCTCGTGATCCACCCACCTCAACCTCCCAAAGTGCTGGGATTACAGGTGTGAGCCACTGTGCCCGGCCACATTTTCTAACTAGAATTTACGGTTTTGTTTTTGACATTTAAATCCTTAATCCACTGGGAGTTACTTTCATCTTTTTCCATATGGACAACTATTTTTTTCTAGCTCTACTGATTGATAGGTTTCCCCTGTTTCCACCAACCTGCAAAGCCATTGGTTCCACCCACACAAAAATTTGTTCCTGAGTTCTCTGTCCAATCCTGGTGCCCGTCTGTTTTTCCAGGCAAAAATCTCACATCACTTCCACTGCTATAATTTCTTAACAATCCCAACATGCGGTGGAAAAATCTCCCTTCCTCTTCAGAAGTGTCCTAGCTATTCCTGTTTTTTTAGTCTTCCATATGCATTTTAGAATAATCACATCAATTCTCACGGAACACCTTTTTGGGATTTTGGTTGGACGTCCCCCAACCCCTGTCCCTGCCTGGCCATGCTGGGGAGACGCCCACCTTCTCCAGGGGCTTCGCCGTAAGGGACAGGCCTGACACCAGGATTCTCCAAGAACTGCCTGCGTCTCTTCCTGCTGAGCACTCACCTCACCGAAACCACAACAGGTAACGAACTCGGCCGCTGGTTCCTGCCCCGGGTCTCGCCAGTGGGGGCCCAGTGCTTCTGTTCACCAGCACCAGGGGCCTGGCCCACATCCCAGACAGCAAGGTGGGAGGACACAGAGGGGCTCTGCCTGCAGAGGCCTTCCAAACCCTGCCCACCTGTGCCCCCCGGGTGGGCTGGCCAGGTCCCCTCCACTCATTCCACAGCCCGCAGCAGGTGACTTCGGGCTGGCAGCTGGTTGGGGAGGCTGCCTTTTTACCGTGCCCTGAGTGAGTCAAGGCTGAAGGCTGCTGCCCGGGGATCTCTGCGCCGACTTGCAGCAGCACACAGAGGGCTCCGTGTGGCTCTAAGGTGGGCAGGGAGAGCCAGTGGCAAGCTCAGAAGACTTCCAGAACCGCCGGCCCGTGGCAGCGGGAGTCGGCTGCGAGGCTGTCCCAAGGCCGGGTGTCCTGCAGGGCTGGGCAAAGGGCACGCTGGCCTCTGCCTCCCCTCACGGGGCCGGGCAACACCCTGGATCTTTCCCTTTTCCTTCATTTACAGAAACCCCTTGAGGGAGGCGAAGGTGGAGAGAAGAGCCAGACAGGAGACAGGAAAAGGGGAGGCAGATGGCGGGGGCGGGGGCAGGACAGGAGCTCAGAGGGAAGAGGGGGACCACCGTGGGGAGGGCAGGACGGAGAGGAGAGGGGCTGGGTGGGTGGGGCTGCAGCGTGAGGCCCCCACGACCACTGCCTTCCCAGGCTCGCCCCCCAGCCCCTTCACCTGCATCCTGGACGTGACAGTCCTAGCTCTTCCCACCCCGGCCCTCCCAGCACCCCCAGGCCTCCTCCCACAAGTTGAGGGGCCAGAAACGCCACGTGTCCCCTTCACCGGCACCTGAAGGCAGAGCAGGGGAGTTGGGTCTGGACGAGCCTCTTCACTGAGAACATCCCCAGAAAGCTCAACTTCATCGTAAAAATTCATCCACATTTGTAGTCCTGGTCTTAAGGTTTTTTATTGACTTTGCTTACCGTAAGATACACCACGCATCCACAAGTGTGTGTGTGATGTGTTTGCGTGGTTTACAGAATAACATAAAAACCATCCGAAACACACCACTGTCCACAAGCTGAGTCTGAGGCCAGGCTCCCAGGCAAGGAGGTGGTCCCTGGTGGCACGGGCAGGGTGCGTGGAGACGGGGACCCAGAGGATGCACGGGAAAAACATGCCTTTATGGTTCAGTTACCTCCCACCGGGTCCCTCCCACAACATGCGGGGATTATGGGAGGCACAATTCGAGATGAGATTCGGGTGGGGACAAACCACATCACCTGGCTACCTACTACTGTACCACGCATACCCGGCCAAGATGAGATTCGGGTGGGGACACAGCCAAGCCACATCACCTGGCTACCTACTACTGTACCACGCATACCCGGCCAGGGAAACCCCCACCCGAGGGTGCAGACTGAACTAACTAGTGCTTGAACTGTCATGAATCATGTTTATTGACAGAGAATTGGCATACAACAAGCTGCACATCAGTGTCCATTTGACATGAGTTGACATCTGTGTGTACCCACGAATCCACTGCCACCATACAGGCAGTGAACAGACCCACTTCTCAGGGTTCCTTGTGTCCTCTGTCCTGTCCTCCACAGCCACTCCCAGTCCCGACCCCAGGCAACCATTGATCTATTTTCTGTCACATAGGTTGGTTTGCATTTGCTGGAATCTTACGTGAACACAATCCTGCAGTTCACACCTTTTGGTCTGGCTTCTTTTCCTTGGCACAAGCTCTGTGCTGTTTGCCTGTGTTGTGGCCCACACTGAGTTCACTGCGTTCTACTCCTGAGTGCCCTCCGTGGGAGAGGAGCTCCGGGCTGGCTGATACACTCGCCTCCTGACAGGAGCTTGCTTTGCCTCCAGTTTGCAGCCCTCACAAACAAGGCCGCTATGAACATGTGGCTTCAGGTCTTGATGCGGATGACTGAGGACCTGAATATCTGGATCACGAGACAGGTGTGTGTTTAACTTTTTAGCAAGCGGCAAAACTGTTTTTCAGAAGGGTCGTCCTACTGCGGAAGTGAGTGGCCTTCCCTGAGTTTCCAGTCGGTGCTGGGAGTTCCCTGAGTTTCCGCACTCAGGGCCGGGAGTTCTAGCTGCTCCACACCTTTGACGACTCTTGCTACAGTCGGTCTTGTAAATTGTAACCTTTCCAGGGCCCCAGGATGAGAGAGTCTTTCGTTCCCCTTTTCACAGATGAGGAAACAGAGTCACAGAGAGGCTGAGGAATGTTCCCGAAGTCACAAACCCGGCGAGTCCTGGAGTCAGGCCTCGAGCTCTGAGCCGGGCGGAAACTCAGTGGGGGTCTCCGGAAAAGGCCTGAGCCACAGGCGCCACTCCCTACGGCTGAGGCTACAAAGCCTGCGGCACCCCCACAGCTGCTCCACAAATGGCTCCCAGAAGTGCTGACTCCCCGGTCCTTAATGGTTGGAGGCCCTGAAGTCGGAGGCCTGGTCTGAGCCGCCTCCGAGGAGGCAGAGCCCCTGCGTCCAGGTGGGGGCTGCTGGGCCTGTGGGCAGAGGGGGTGTCATGGGGCCCATGGGTGAGGAGCCACTGCCGTGGGAAGGAGGCCGCCTGGCCGCTGGGTCACCCTCACGCTCACAGTGAGCTGGGCTTTGTCTTGCCTAGAGGAACAGGAAAAGGAGCTGTGTTGGTTTCCAGTCACAGTGTGGGGAGAGAAGCCCATGAAATCCCCTGGATATGGCTCACAGAGCCAAGAGTAAGTTGCAAAAAGGTGCAGTGCCTGGGCCCCATGGCTGAGTCCTTACTCGCATGCTTGCCAGGGCATTGCTCCCGGCACGAGGCCGCCCGCCTGCAGCAGGCCCGCAGGGGCACGGTGGGTCCCCGCCCGCTCCTCATGCCTTGAGCGCGTCATCCTTCCCGGGGTTCACGGCCTCTGACAGCCAGACCTCAACACGGCCAGCACGGTGTGCATGGTGTGCACGCCTCCTGCGCCGGGGCCACCAGAGTGGGCTCTCACCGGAGGAGAAAGACAGTCGGGGAGAGCAGCGCTGTCTGTCACGCTTTGTCACGCTTTGCCGGTGTCATCTGAGAAGTGGTGCAGGGGACAAGGGGGGCGTGACAGGACTGGTCCTGCGGTAGAGACCCTCTGGGGTGGTGTTCCTGGAACTCTCCCGAAGCCTCTCTTGTTGACATGCATGCCCCACTGAGGAGGGCACACAGCAGAGCTGAGTTATACCCACACCCTGCAATCAAACATGCCCCACATCACACCTGGAGTCACGCAGACCCCAGGCAGCCTGCACAAAATGCCAAACAAGAAAAAACTGCAAGAAAACCACCGCCACACGCCTTTCTAGAACATGCAACCTAAGGATCAAATCCCACAACCAAAGGTGCACAGAGAGGTGTTGGGGAGAGGACAAGGGCAGCCTCCACACTAGAGGACAGAGTGGGGCTGGCATGGCAGCCGCAGGGACACAGCAGGCTGTGGGGCCGGGGGCTGAGCCTGGGTGTCAGCCGGCTGTGGGGCCGGGGGCTGAGCCTGGGTGTCAGCCGGCTGTGGGGCCGGGGGCTGAGCCTGGGTGGCAGCCGGCTGTGGGGCCGGGGGCTGAGCCTGGGTGTCAGCCGGCTGTGGGGCCGGGGGCTGAGCCTGGGTGGCAGCCGGCTGTGGGGCCGGGGGCTGAGCCTGGGTGGCAGCCGGCTGTGGGGCCGGGGGCTGAGCCTGGGTCGCAGTCGGCTGTGGGGTCGGGGGCTGAGCAGGCACTCTTAGGCCGTCTACCTCCGAACCCAGCTCTTCCCTTGTGGCCATGCAGGCTTGGGGAAAATGGCCTCCTCTCTGTGAACCCGGTCTCTGAAATGGGATCAGACCCCGGCCTACACTCTCTCTACCTCGGCTCCTGTCCGATTTCTGAGGTTCAGTGGATTGTCAGGTTGGATCCCCCCAGCTGGTTCAGGAGGCAAACACTGTTATTACTGCCATTTTTCAGATGAGAACCAGCTCATGAGGTCAGAGGGGCGAGCATCTGCCAAGGTCCTCCCTGGCAAGTGGACATGGGCCAGGCAGGACGGCTGCAGAAGCTGAGTGTGCCTCTCCCGCTTCACCACCCCTCGGTGTGAACTCCCTATCTATGAATTTAGAGGATGTCCTGGGTGGGTTCCCTGGAGACTCGAGCCTGAGGAAAGGGTTAAGTGCAAGAGCTTCGTGGGGACTGTGATCCAGGGAGCAGGCGGAGAGCAGAGCAGGGGACAGGCAGGGTGATGACGAGATGGAGCCCTGAGCTGACCGGCCTGGGGACCACTGGGTGTCCCATCCTCTTTCTAACATCGAAAGCTCTGCTCTTCACCCTTGGGCTTCACTGAGGGAACGAAGGGGCGCTCACGTTTATGGAGACTCTTTCCAATCCCTTGGTAGAAGTTTATCCTTTTGATGAAGTTGTTTGCGCACCTTTCAAGGCTCACTGCGGGCATTTCATGTTTCGTGACTATCGTGAAGACATTTTTTCTATCATACTATATTAGTTATTGTTGATGTATAAGAAAACTATTGGTTTGTTTTGATGTTCACCTTGCCCATGCCCATCATCCCCAACTTTTATTTATTCTGATACCTTTGCAGAGTTCTGACTGATTTCTCTTGGAATTTCTAGAGGGACAACGCTGTCATCTGCAAATAACTCAACATGCTTATTCTCCATCTCATTCCTTATCTGATCACATCATCTAGGATCTCGAGAAGTATCAAGTGTTTATTCTTATCAAATTTTATCATTTTCTTTTTGGTGATTTTAAAAGGAATGCAAAATATTTCACAATCTATTTTCAATATTTGGGAGATGACTTTTATGAAGTTAAGAATGCATGCTGGCCAGGCACGGTGGCTCACACCTATAATCCCAGCATTTTGGGAGGCTGAGGTGGGCAGGTCACTCGAGCCCAGGAGTTCAAGACCAGCCTGGGCAGCATGGAGAAACCCTATCTCTACAAAAAATACAAAAATTAGCTGGGCATGGTGGCACGTGCCTGTAGTCCCAGCTACTCAGGAGGCTGAGGCAAGAGGATTGCTTGGGCCCAGGAATTCAAGGTTGCAG
The DNA here is from genome assembly GCF_000001405.40 of Homo sapiens. Lineage (NCBI taxonomy): Eukaryota > Metazoa > Chordata > Mammalia > Primates > Hominidae > Homo > Homo sapiens. The sequence goes on from NW_025791815.1 coordinate 12,573, forward strand.
TGAGCCATGATTACAGCATCGCACTCCAGCCTGGGTGACAGTGAGACCCTATCTCAAAAAAGAAAAGAAAAGGAAGAAAAGAAAGCATGCTTTGCCCCATAGCAAAAGAGTTTTTATCATCAAGTGTTGAATTTTATTGAACATCTTGGAATTTATTGATGCATCCCATGGCTTTCTGTTCTGATAAAGCAGTGACTTGTGGTCGCTGATGTCCTAATATTGACCCATCTTTATATTTCTGAATGTGATGGGATTCTGAGCCTCTGTATTTCTAGGGGAGACTAGTCTCTGTGTGATGTATGACGAATCAGAAAATTCATTCCTTATCTGATCACATCATCTAGGATCTCAAGAAGTATCAAATGTTTATTCTTATGAAATTTTATCAGTTTTTCTATGATCTGTAAGAATAACTTTGAATGGTGGGTTGTGTGTGTGTGTGTGTGTTTTGATACAGGGTCTTGCTCTGTTGCCCAGGTTGGAGTACAGTGGCCCAATCTCGGCTCACTGCAACCTCTGCCTCCCAGGTTCAAGCGATTCTCCCGCCTCAGCCTCCCGAGTAGCTGGGATTACAGGCACGTGCCACTACACCTGGCTTATGTTTGTATTTTAAGTAGAGATGGGGTTTCACCACGTTGGCCAGGCTGGTCTCGAACTCCTGGACTCGAGTAATCCGCCCATCTCGGCCTCCCAAAGTGCTGGGATTACAGGCGTGAGCCACTGCCCCCCAGCCCACTTTGAATGTTTCTGACCACTAAACAGTAAGGGTTTTGTGTGCATGGGATCATCGACTGTGTGCACTTAGGCATCTGTCTCCTCCCACGCAACCGTGACATTTGTGAGGCTCAGCCCTGCTGTCACACCTTCCTCCTCATTGCCGAAGGTCACCACGTTGTGTTAAACAACCACCGTCTCCATTTGACTGCTGAGGGACACTGGGCTATTTCTGGTTCAGACTGTGATGAACGGTGCTGCTGTGAAGGTTCCTGGACAGGTGTTTTTAGAACATGTGTGGTGGGGCGCATTCCCAAGAGAGGACTTCTTGTCAGATGCATGCATGCTCCACTTTATCAGAGAGGCCACTTCTCCAAAGAGACTGTACAATTTATGCTCCCACCAGCAGCATGGGGACGCTTCGCCCGGTTCTTATCCCCTCCAAGAGCTGGTGTTATCCGTTGTGTTCTTTTTAGCGGATTCTGGGAGATGAGTAAAAGATTAACGTAACCTTCTCTCATCAATATGGACAAGTTAATACTGGTTTAACTTTCTAGCTATGTTTCCCTGAAAATCTAATCAAGGCAGAATGTTACCCAGGACGTGACCCCTGATGGGCGCATTGCACCTAAATTTGCAGGTCTTTGCAGGCACTAGAAATATCTGCTGGGGGCACCCTTGATTTCGGTTGCCCGGGTGCAGTGACCTGCTCCTGGGCATGTTCCTTGATGCGTGCTGCACCGACCCCTCTGGAGCTGAACTAGAGATGGAACCGTAGGCCAGGGTTGTTTCACCCATCCATATGGATCTTGCTCTCCCATATTCCAGCTGCCACTTGATGGGAGAGGGGGAGAGGGGCCAGAGAAGAGGAGGCACCTTTGCTGAAAATCAATTGATCATATACACACGAATCTATTTCTGGATTCTATTCTGTTGTATTGGTTTATATTTGTTTCCTTTTGCAAACTGCACTATTTTGATGACTGCAGCTTTATAATAAAATATTGAAGACAGGGAGTAGCATTCTCCAACTCGTTCTTCCTTTTTCAACCTTGTTTTGGCTATTCTTGTTCCTTTGTGTTTTTATACAGAGTTTGTAATCAGCTTGCTAATAGTTACCAAAAAGCTGCTAGCATGTAGATTGTAATTGTGTTGTATTTATACATAATTTAGGGACAATTGACATCTTCACAACATTGAAACTTCTGATCAAGAATCTTCCGAGTCTTCATATTCCCTGCTGTGGTAAGTATTGCTTTTTGTTTCATTTCTAATTTTTCATCGCTAGTATATAGAAACACAGCCAGTTGTTCTGTGTTGCCCTTATGTCCTGCAACCTTGCTAAACTCACTTATTAATTCTAAAAGTTTGTGTATAGTCTCCTTAGGATTTCCTACAGACAATCATGTCATGTGTGATTAGTCCTTTTTTATTTCTTCTTTTCCAATCTGTACCCCTTTATTTCTTGTTCTTGCCTAATTAAACTAAGATCTCCCATGCAATACTGTATAGAAATGGTGAAAGCAGCATCCTTCTTTTGTTCCTTACCTTGGGAGAAAGATTTCGTTTTACAATATTAAGTATAAAATTATGCTCTTTACCAGGCTGAGAAAATACCCTTCTATTCCTAACTTCCTGAACTTTTTAAAGAATGGGCGTTTAATTTTGCTATATTATTTTTCTGTAGATGTGTATTTTTTGTAGGGAGATGATCCCATGACTTTTTTCAGTTATTCTACTAATAGAGTGAATTATATTGACTGACTTTTGAATGTTAAACCAACCTTGCATCCCTGAGATGGTACCTGCTGGTCAGGATTGTGACGATCCTTTCTCTGCAGTACTGGGTTTTCTTTGCTAACATTTTGTCAAGGATTTTTGCAGGATATTGATCTGCAGTTTTCTTTTCTTGCAGTGTCTCTGTCTGGTATCAGAGTAATAGAGGCCTCACGAAATGAATTGGGAAGTTTCCCTTTCTCCTCTGTGTTCTAAAAGAGCTTCTGTAATTTGCAATTATTCCTTCAATAAATATTTTATAATATTTACCAGTGAAGACATCTGGGCTAGGGGTTTTCCTCCTAAATGGCTTTTAATTGAGTTTAATTTATTCAACAGACATGGAGCTATTCAGTTTTTAAAATTAAAATTGTTCACAAATGGTATTTTATAAATTCTCTATTTTCATAAGTAGCATTTATTACCCTTTTTATTTTTTAAGAGACAGGGTCTCACTCTGTCACCCTGGCTGGAGTGCAGTGGCGTGATCATAGCTCTCTGTAACCTTGAACTCCTGGGCTCAGACAATCGTCCCGCCTTGGCCTCCCAAAGTTCTGGTATTGCTGGCGTGAGACTCTGAGCCTGGCCCATCTTTTTAATATCTGTAGGATCTTTCTTTCTTCTATTTTTTCATTCTTGATATTGGAAATTTACGTCAGTACCCTTTAAAAAAAAATCAGTCTGGGCCAGGCGCGGTGGTTCACACCTGTAATCTCAGCACTTTGGGAGGCCAAGGTGGGTGCATCACTTGAGGTCAGCAGTTCCAGGCCAGCCTGTCCAACATGGTGAAACCCCATCTCTACTAAAAATACAAAAATTAGCCGGGCGTGGTGGCTTATGCCTGTAATCCCAGCTACTCAGGAGGCTGAGGCAGGAGAATCACTTGAACCCAGGAGATGGAGGCTGCAGTGAGCCGAGATCACACCATTGCACTCCAGCCTGGGCAACAGAGTGAGACTCCATCAAAAAAAAAAAAATCAGTCCAGACAGAATTTCCAGAAGACAAAACAAAACAAAAAAACAGCAGCTTTTGGCTTCAGTAATTTTTCTCTACTGTTTTGGTCTGCTTCCTATTTTTCATTAATTTCAGTTCTGATATTTATTATTTCCTTTCTTCTGTTTACTTTGTGCTTAATTTGCTTTTTTCCTGGCTTCTTCAGTTGGAGGCTCAGGTCGTGTCTTTGTGCTCCTTCTTTTCCGCATTTAGTGCTATAAATTTCCCATTAAGCGCTGCATTAGCTTTTCCCCAGAAATTTGGATATGCTGTTATTTTCAATTAACTAAACAAAGTTTTAATTGTCTCCCAAGAGTCATACAATTTATTGAGAAATGTGTTGTTTAAAATTTCAAAATATGTTGGGACTTTCCAGATAACTATTTTTTACTTCTTGCTTAACTCTGTTATGACCTAAAAGCATACTTTGTAGGATTTGTGTTTTTAAAAATTTGTTAAGATATATCTTATGGCCCAGGATATGGTCTATCTTGGTGACGTCCATGCACATTTGAGAAGAATGTTCTAAGCTGTTGCTGGGTGGTGTGTTCTATGAACATCAATCAGCTCTAGGTGCTGGATAGTGTTGCTCATGCCCTCTGCATCATTACTGATTTTTCTGTCCATGTGTCTGACAATTACCGAGAGAAGAGAGATGAAGTCTTAAAGCATAACTGGGGATCTGTCTATTTCTCTTTCCAGTTCGATGGGTTTTTCTTCATGGGGTTTGAAGCCCTGTTGTTTGGTACATGCTCATTTATGACTGTGATGTCTTCTTGGAGCCCTGACCCTCATTATGATGCAAAGTCCCTCATCATCCATGTGGATGCTCCTTCTAGATCTACATCTACATCCACGTAGATGTTGAAATCTATTTGTCAGAGATGAAGCAGCGACTCCACCTTTCTTTTGACTAGTGCTTGAATGGTGTATTATGTTTAACTCTATATATGCCTTTAGATTCAAAGTGCATTTCTTGTAGCCACGATATAGTTGAATCCTGCTTTTTAAAATCCAATATGACAGGTCAGGCGTGGTGGCTCACGCCTGTAATCCCAGCACTTTGGGAGGCGGAGGCGGGCAGATCACGAGGTCAGGAGATCAAAACCATCCTGGCTAACACAGTGAAATCCTGTCTCTACTAGAAATACAAAAATATCAGCCAGGCATGGTGGTGAGCGCCTGTAGTCCCAGCTACTCAGGAGGGTGAGGCAGGAGAATGGTGTGAACCCGGGAGGCAGAGCTTGCCGTGAGCCGAGATGGCGCCACTGCACTCCAGCCTGGGAGACAGCGCGACTCTGTCTCAAAAAAATAAAAAAATAAAAATAAAATAAATAAAATCCAACCTGACAATCTATCTTTTAACTGGTATGGCTAGACCATCCACATTTAATAGATTATTGATACAATTGGATTTTAAGCTACCATTTTGTCACGTGTTTTCTATTTGTTACATGTTTTTTGCTTCTTTTGCTCGCTTTTCTGCCTTCTCTTGGTTAACTGAGCATTACTTTATCATTCCATTTTATGTCCTCTTGTCCTATAACTTATACCTCTGTTAGAAAATTGTACTCACTGTCCTAGGGTTAAGTCTTAAATTAATCAAAGTTTACCTTCGGATAGTATGAGACTGCTTCACGTATAGTGTAAGGACCCCACAGCAGTATTTTCCCAACAATTTCTTCCATGCTCTGTGAATTATCATCACATGGTTTACCTTGGAGCATGTTATCAACACAATACAACACTACCATTTTCCCTTTAGATAGTTGGCATTTGCAGCAATTACAATTTTTAATTATTTCTTCCATTTCTATACTCTATTACTCTTCATGTCTGAAGGAAATAATGTATACAGTGGTCCAATTCCAAGACAAAGTGCCTTGAATTGGCTTAGGTCAGCAAACTGCAGAAGAAACAGGATATCCTAGGCCCCTGCTCGGATAGCCAACACCTGCTTCTTGGCCTCCCCCTTCCCCCCTTAATTTTTAAAAGTTATTTTCACTAGTAAAGAATTCTGAATCAGGCCACGAGTGGCAGCTCACGCCTGTAATCCCAGCACTTTGGGAGGCCGAGGTGGGCAGATTATGAAGTCAGGAGATTGAGGCTGCCATGGCTAACATGGTGAAACCCCATCCCTACTAAAAATACAAAAAATTAGCTGGGCATGGTGGCAGGTGCTTGTAGTCCCAGCTACTCAGGAGGCTGAGGCATGAGAATGGCATGAACCCGGGAGGCAGAGCTTGCAGTGAGCTGAGATTGCGCCACTGCACTCCAGCCCGGCCGACAGAGCGAGACTCCGTCTAAAAAAAAAAAAAAAAATCTGAATCAGCACTTTTTTTTCCTTTCAGTACTTGAAAGCCATCCCTCCATCATCATCCACCTTGCATAGTGTCTGCAGATAGTTCTGCTGTGCTTCTTATCTTGGTTCTTCTCGCGTCTCATGTGTCCCTCTCCCTCCCTTCTCCTCCCAGTTCCTTTAGAGAGTTTCTGCATGTCTTTTTCCCCAGCTGCTTGAATATGCACAGGTTTCTGTGCTTTTTTTTTGTTTCTGTTCTATTTTGTTTGTTTTACTTTTTTGCTGTTTTACCTGATGGATGTTGTCTGAGTTTCTTTAATCTGTGCTTTGATGTCTGTCATTGATTTTGGAAAATTATTGACCATTATTTCTTCAAATATTCCTTGTCCACCCCCTCACCATCTGTGATTCCAATTGTATTATGTTACACTACTTGAGATCGTATTGTAATCCCTCGGAAACACGCTCTATGTTTTTCCTCTTATCTCTTTGGTTTTCCATTTGGATGATTTCTATAGAGCTATTTTCAAATTCATGGATTTCTTTGGCTAAGTCAAGTTTACTGACAAGCTTCTCAAAGCCATTTTTCATCTCTTTTACTGTGTTTTCATTTTTAGCATTTTCATTTTGTTCTTTCTCACAGTTTCTATCTCTTTTCAAGACAGCATATTATTTTAAGCAAAGAAATGGAAATAAGCTAAGTCTCATGAATGGTGGAAGAATTGACAAATAAGCTAAGTCTCATTAATTTTAGGGAGACTTAGCTAGTTTCATTCAATCATTTATGTAAATGTGTTCATCCTGGCATAGAAAGAGCTAGAACAGAAATTGAGCTTTAAAAGCAAGTTTCAAAACCATGGATATTATCTCATGTATGCTTTGTTTTTAAAATTCCACAAAGCAACATAATATTTCTAGAGTAACAAATATCTACAAAATGCATTTTGTAAAACAGCCTGGAAGGAAAACCCACAGAAGATGATAAGGGTTCGGTTTGGCAGGAGGCAGGGTTGGGACTCCAGCTTTACTGGTCACATGTGGAGTTTTTACAGTGAGGTTGTGTCCTGTGTGAGCTATGTGTCTTCAGACAACTCACCCTGTGATTGGGTGGATGATGCGGCAGAGAAGGGAGCACAAAGGGCCCTGGCAGGTGCAGGTGGAGGCAGGGCTGAGGCCAGGTCTGCTCTATGTCAAGAGGAGTGCAGCCTCTCACAAAAGCTGAACAATTCCTAGGCTCCTGCGCACTGCGGGTTGTAACCACGGCCCGGGCAGCTCCTCTGAGCCTGAGTGCAGCCCCTTCCCTGTCTGTACCACCTCTCCCTGCAAACCCATCAACCCCATCCCAGGCCCCACCTGCCCAGGAAGCAAGACAGACACCTGTGGTGCAGGCCCCAGACTTGAGGAATCTGCTACCGCTTCTTAGAACCCAGACACGGTCCTAAGCCTGCTCCACCTGCTCCACCCCAGGACCTCTGCCGGAGCTGCCCTCGGTCCTGGATGCTCTCTCCTCCCTGCGCACCCCACAGCCCATTCCTCCACAGCCCATGAGCCCTCCCCTGGTCCCTGCAATGAGCCATGGCCACTCCCCTGCTCCCCACACCTGTGCTCCAAGGCCCCCCAGGGACCTGGCACGTCCGTCTCTTTGGGGGCACTGGTTTGAGCCTGCCCCTACCAGAGGGCACAGAGCCTCCAGGACCCTGGTGGAGGGACAAACAGGGCCGAGCAGAGCTCCATGTGGACGCTGGGCGCTGCCCTCAGAGCACCTGCAGGCGTCTGTGCAGAAGGGCCCGGGAGGAGGTAAGGCGAATGGAGAGACTTTTGGTCTTATTTTCTACGTGTGTTTCTGCATTTTCTGTTGATTTTTCTGTGGTTATCACATATTACTCGTGTCTACAAAGGAAACAATACAACTCTAATAGAAAGAGGGGATGCTACAGAGCCTATGGGGACACAGCCATGAGGCCAAGGTAAGGCCCCAAGTGAAACGAATGAGCAAAAAGAGTTCGTACAGCTACCAGGTAAGCAGTCACATGTGTTTCATAGTAGCTGTGTCTCCTACTGATCACACCCCCATAGTCCCCAAAGGTGGAGAGTGGGGCAGGAGAGAGGTAGGCCAACTCAGGCCACAGGTGGGCTGGCACCCGCCCTGCCCCAGCCCCTCCCTCCTGGGAGCCGCAGACAGGCCCCCAGGGCAGTGCATCAGGCCACACCTGCAGAGACCTGCTTCCCCTGGCAGCAGGCACCTGCCCTGACGGAAGACTTAGGAATGGGTTGGGTTGGGTGGAAGTGGTGCCCCAGGGCAGGTGAGATGGAAGAGGTGAAAGAGACCTGCACTGCAGGGTTAATGGACAGGGGCCAGACAGACCAGGAGCCTCGGGAGGAGAAGCCACCAGGACCCAGGACACATGAACACCCCTGACACACACTCACACGCACACAGGCTGACACACATGCACACACTGTACATAGTTACAGAAACACACACATGCACACACACAGCACAGAGAGACATGCACACACATGCACACAAGGTACGGTCACAGACACACACACAGCAGACACACAGACACACCCACTGCACTGCAGAGACACCACCAAACCCTGATAGACACACACAGACTCACTCCTCCATCCACCTGAGAAACAAAAGTTTTGCAGAAGTGTGCGATGACCACTTCTACTCTATGCTGTTCTCCTTAATCTTTTTATTTTTAAAAAATGTGGGTCATAATCCTTTACATTGATTTCCTTCCTCACAGTGCACCGCAAGCACTCAGGGAAGGACTCCAGGTTTGAAGGCAGATGCTGGTCGGGACCCGACCAGGTGGCTGGGCGGGAAGAGGTGAGATCGGGCAGGATTGGGCCTGGGAAGGCTGAGGCAGGCAGGGATGATGCCAGCAGAGGAGAATCCCAAGCAGGCCCCGCGGCTGCGGCTGGAGAGCTCCAGGGGCGGAGAGGAGGTGGGAGGCAGCAGTCAGGTTGGGAGGACCCTGGCAAGCAAGCCCAGAGAGGAGGGCCGGGAGGGCCGGGCACTAGAAGTGTGAAGTCACTGCTGCCTCCTGGGGCTGCTTCAGAGGATGGGTGGGGCCACGTGTGGGGAGATCAGGGAGACTGGAGACTACGCTGTTTGGTCCAGGCATAGGAGATGAGCCCTGGCCGGGAAGGGACAGTGTGGATGGGCCAGGCGGAATCAGAGGGTTTCAGAGAAAGCCGTCAAGCCAGTGCCATGAGTTTCGCGCACACGAGGAGGGAGCAGGCTGGGGGGTGTTGCTGGTGTGAGGGCTCTCTGGTTGCAGGGAGCGGTCCGGTCGGGTGGGGGCACAGCTGCCAGGAGGAAAGCGCCCAGGGCCTGCAGGTGGGGCTCAGGATGCTGGCCCTGAAGAAATAGAAACAGGGTTTTCACCTGGGAGGGAGGAGGAGCCTGGGAACTGGGGAGGAAGAGGCTCTGCTGGGCCGCGCCCTGGGAACAGGGGGACCTGGGGACAGATCTGGCCCTCGCACGCCCCTCCTGTCTCGCGTCCGTCCCTCCGTGCAGCCGGGGCAGGACCCTGCAGGGGCCTTGCGGGCCGGAGGTGCCGGCTTCCTCCTCCGTCCCGTCCCCCCCGCGGTGACTCTATTCAAATCTCCCCCCTTCCCGCTGCCCCACCGGACTCAGGGGCTGGGGTCGTAGCCCGGCGGGCAGCGGTGTTCACCTTCCGCATAAACCTGGGCTTCCTCGCGGGGCAGCCCCCGGGCCCTGTGCTGGGTCGCAGCCTCGGGCGGTTCCCTCGGGGCGGGACGTGTCCCCGTCCGTCCTCGCCCGTCCCCGCCGCCCCCGGGTCCCGGCCCGCCCCGTCCTCGCAGCCGCAGGTCCGCTGCGGCGCCCGCCCCCCTCTCCCCTCCCCGGGCCTTGCCCTGCTCGTCGCTCCGCCCCCTGCCCGGCCCCTGCCCGGCCCCGCCCCGCGCCCGCCCCCTGCCCGCGCCCGCCCCGCCCCCTGCCCGGCCCCTGCCCGGCCCCTGCCCGCCCCCTGCCCGGCCTCCCAGCGGCGGCGGCTGCAGCGCGGCGGTCCGAGCGGGTGCACCGCGGCGGAGGAGGCAGCATCCCGCGGCGCTGACGGTCCTGGGGAGAGCATGGCGCCGAGGTGAGGCCGGGGCTGCGGGCAGGGGTTGGGGGACGCCAAGATGCGGCTGCGGGGGTCGCGGGGGTCGCGGGGCTCGGCCGGGTCCTGCGGGGGTCGCGGGGGTCCTGCGGGGTCTGACCCGTGCCTGTCCCGCGCAGGTGCCCCTGGCCATGGCCGCGGCGGCGGCGCCTCCTGGACGTGCTCGCGCCCCTGGTCCTGCTGCTCGGGGTCCGCGCGGCCTCCGCGGAGCCAGGTAAGACCCGGGCGGGACGGGAAGGTTCGCGCCGGTGCCCGCCGGCCTCGCCGCCCTGGCTGGGGTCCCCGCCCGGCTCCCTCACCCCCGCCCCGGCCGCTCTGGGTTCAGCCCCGGCCCTGCCCACGCGCGCAGGAGGCGCCGGAGCCGGACGGAGCGGGGCGGGGTGGCCGGAGTCCCGCCCATTCATTCTCCCCGCGGGGTCCGGGCCGGGAGGGGTGCGCGGTGCGAGCGGCCGGAGTCCCCGCGCGGGGACCGAACCTCCGCGGCCGGCGGGGTCGTCGGTGCCGGGAGGGCTCGGGGCGGGGCCGCGGGGTCTCGGGAGACGCGGCCTCTGTCGCCGTCACGGCCTCGTCCCCGCAGCGCCGGGTCCCGGGACTGACCGCGGGCGGAAGGCGGCGGAGCGCGGGGCGTCGTCTCCGCGTTTCCAACCTGTTGAGGCTCCTCGCCGCGGGCCGGGCCTTGTGCGCCTCTGTCCCCGCCGCCCTCAGGCCTCTGTCCCCGCGCCCGCCGTGGTGTCGGGTTGCGCGGTCCCCTTTGATGCCAACCGAGCGCCGCGCGGTCCGAGAACAATGCCCAGAAGCCGCTGCCCCGCCGGCCTCGCCGCTTCCCGTGCGCGGCAAACGGTGCGCGGGGCCCGTGGGGACCTTCCTGCCTCCAACCCCGGGACCCAGTTCCCCACCACCTGCTAACCGGGGCCTCCTGCCTCCAGCCAGCCCAGCAGAGGCCCGGGGGAGGCGGCGGGGACGCGGACCCCAGGGGAGCCCCGCCCAAAGGGCCTGGGTGCCTTGTCGCGGGTGGAATCCCACCCGGGGGTCCACGCAGCCAGCGCCTGCCTCCGACTCGACTCCACACCTGCTTGCTACAGCGGGTGAGGAAGCAGGAAAGGGGGAGGGAGGGATGTCGTCTGGATTCCTGTAATAATTTGTTTCATTGTTTCCAATCGACTTAGTCACCAGGTTAAATAGTAGCATAGACCTTTCAAAAAAGTAGCTAGCTTATAAGTAGATGTATTGAAAACACCTGCTTGTTGAGTCGTAGACAATTCCTCATTTACTGTGTGAACTCTAGGGGGTGAAACACGGGCGGAGAGCGGCTGTGAGCTCACGCGGCTCCATCCCCACAGCGGCCCAGGGTCACTCGGGGCCATTAATCAGGCCGCAGAGCTGCCCTCTGAGCCGGGCCGCCAGCGCCCACAGGGCCCAGACCAGGGCTCCCTGGGCGGGATGTTTTAAATCGCACAGGGACAAAGGAAAGGAAAGACGCTGGGGCCCAAGCCCGAGCTTATGAAACGTTATCAAGGAGGAGATGTAAAAGGTGATGGTTTTTTTGCCTTTGAATAGAAAAAACAAAAACTGTTAACGCGAGCTTTGGTGAGATGCAATCTTGAGATCTAAGAGTGGGGTGTAAAGTCAGTGCAGGCCTCAGCAGGGAAAGTTACGGTTGGCCAAATGGGCTGTGCGTTCCTCTTCTGTCCCGGGCCTGCCCCAGCCTCAAGCACTCTGGGGCAGGAAGGCCCCTTGGAGGTGTCTAATGGAATGTGGAAGGCGGGTGGCCAGGAGGCTGAAGCGGAAGCAGGCCCAGAGAGGGGTCTGCATGCTGCCCACACACCCCTCCCCCAGCCCGGAGAGAACTCAGGCTCCAGGCCACCCGCAGCCCGGGTTCCAGTCCTTGCAGGACCAAGTCCCCCTGAAATGGGAAAACAGTCGCCCCCTTTAGGGGTTATTGGAGAAGAGCTAATGTGTCTGAAATGCTGACTCTGGCGAGGGTTTCAGTTGTTCTCAAAACTTAAAAAGCACCCTTGAGAGTTGAAGGCCTGAGGCCCAGTTTGCTGATTTGCACATTTTTTTCTGGCCAAGAATGATGCATCTTTCCATGTCTCTGTGCTACACTTGATCCCTAGAAAAGTCTTTTGCTTTTTTGTGTCAGGATTGGTCGCTGTGATGCTGAGGTTCTTGAATGGTGTTTGTGCCTTTCCCTGTAATCAGGAACCTGGGCTCAGTGGTCACTTGGCCGCTTGGTTGCCACCCAGCTGTGTGAGGTGCCGCAGTCTTACCTGCAATCTCTCCTCTGGTGGATTTGTGTGTGCGAAACAGCCGTGACCCCCAAGAGGTGCTTGTAGTCAGTGCTTCAGAGTCAGAGTGGAGCTGAGGAAGAGGACTGTGTCACCGGGGCAGTTGCTGATGCCCATGGCCACGCCAGGAGCCTGGTCTCATGAGTCTCCTTGTCTCTGAGCCTCTCCTACACTCCACCATGGCATCAAGCTCTACCCCTGCCTCCCTGCAGCCCCCAGAAGATGCATGTCCTGCCCCTGCTCACCACTAGGACCTCCTCCTGTCTGGTGGTCAGCACAGAGCCCAGTGATGTGGGTACAAGGCAGGGTCCCTGCGCCTCACTTCCCACTCCCTCTGAAGCCCTGCAGGGATTGGGCTTCAGTGACCTGGGTTCCGTGGGTGTGGCTCACCCCAGGGCACACGGCGCCTAGGTAACGAGAGACCCTCCCGCGTAGAAGGTGGTCTTGTTTCTGGGCTCACCCACTGGGGAGTCTTCAGGATTCAGATGCAAGGACTTTGGAAGATAGTTTTGAATTTCAGCAAAACTTGTTTTTCAGGGCACTCCTGTTTTCCTGTAAATGAAAGCAGAGCAGGGGAAGTCCTCTGTAGGAAAACCTAGAAGGAGTGAACTGCCCTGCTCCAGAGTGCAGGCGCCAGACACTGGGGGCCAGTCCAGGAGAGCCCCACTTCACCTGCTGCTGCTCCATTTAAAAGTGCAAGGCACATGCATACACGGGCATGCACAATTGTGCACACAGGTGCACATTCCCAGTCACGCGAAGTGCAGGGGCACAACTGTGTACATGCACACACACACAAAAGTGCACATGTGTGTGCACACACATGCCCCCCGCAGGCGTGTGATTCTCACAGTCATGCTGCATCCACACAAAGTCTTCCTCCCTCAGAGTGCCTTGTTCTGTCTTCACCTGGATTGTTGAAAAGGCTGGGGGCTGGGTTCTTTGGGCCCCGGGAGTGCCAGGGGATCCTGTGGTATGATCAACAGCACCACCGCCCTGGGAGCAGCTCCTGATTGCTGGGAACAGACAGTAGGGGCTGGGCTGGGGTAGAAGCTGCAGCCTGCAGGCAGCCCAGAGAGAGGGGCCCCCACAACACCCTCCCCAGCCCCCGCTGATTGTGTGGGGGCAGGGAGTATGCAGGCAGCTCGGAGAGAGGGGCCCCCACAACACCCTCCCACCCCCGCTCACTGTGTTGGGGGAGGGGTGCCTGCTTCTGCTCAGGAAGGAGACCCGGCTGGGTCTGGCTGTGGAGCGTATGTTGGAGACCCGAGGCCACCCTGGAACTCTCCAGGTGAAGCCTAGGGATCCAAAGAACCTCACAGCTGTGGGGGATGGAGTGGGGCAACACCTGAAACCTCCAGCAAGTCTCTTCCTCTCTCAGCCCCAGGCCTGCAGAGGAGGGTGTGCCAGCCAACTGGGCCTTTGTGCCGGCACTGGCTCCCCACCAGTGCTCAGGGGTCAGGTGCAGAGGCTGGCAGGGACAAAGCTGGCTGTGGCTGTGTCTGGAGGGGCTGGCCATGGCCCTCACCCCACCCCCGGCATGGGGCACTGGACCATGCAGAGAAGGGGCCACCCCAGTGCCTGCCAGGGCCAGTCAGAGCTGCCACCCTCCAGGCTGTCTGTTAGCGGGTGCCTGTCAGAGAACAAGACGACAGGCCTGGCCAGGCCCAACCCCACAGCGAGATTTCAGCGGCTGGCCAGTGGCAGACGGCGCAGGGTCTGAGACAGATATTCCCTCGTATGGTGCTGTGCAGGGCAGGGGCAGAATCCTGGGAAACTAAAATGCATGTTGGGCGCCCTTATACGATGATGATATTTGGTACATTTTGAAATACTGTGGCCCATGAAGATCCTGAAAGCAGTTTGGGGCACTGTGGGGTGTTCTGTGGCCTCTGGGCTTGGGTGCTCCTCTTATCCAAGGCCTCCCAGGCCTGGGAGTTTGGGGTCTAAGGCCCTTTTCAAGGCCCAGGCACCTGCCCAGAATGACTGGGCAGCTGAGACCCGCCTGCTGGGAGCCTTGCCAGGGCCAGCACTGGGCGGTCACAGGCCAGAGCCCTGCACCAGGCGGTCATAGGCCAGGACCTGTCCAAGGCAGCGGAGTGCCAGGCAAGTGAAGCCCTGCCATCTGGTGCCTGAGCGCAGACCCTGCTCCACGGCCAGTGGCTGTCACCAGCCTTGCTGCCTCAGTTTCCCCTCCTTAACCCCGGGGCGGGAGTGGCTGCTTCCTCTAGGGGTTCTGTGAGCGGCCGCTGGCAATTGTGTAAAAGCCACATACCACACACTGGATCTTTGTGCCAGATCCCGTGTCACGTGAGGAGACAGCCAGCCCAGGCAGGGAGCTGATCTGTGTTGTCCCCTGGCGCTGCCCGGGGCCACAGAGAGTGAGGGAGCGGTGCTTACCGGCCCTGGCGGTAACGTTTTAGATGGCGAGTTTGGGCCTCTGCAGAAGGGCTGTCAGGAGGAGCTTTTGATCACGGATGCGCTGAGTCAGATGAAATGTGGAGGCTGCAGGGGAAGTGTCTGTGCCCCGTGCCTGCAGGAGCACGCCTTCCCCCCGCAGCTCCTCCGGCGCGGGCAGGCCCCGGCACGGCCTTTCTGGCTTCTTCCACAGGAGCCGTGGAAAGGGGAATTATTCTCAAGCCCCTGCATCTTTCTGGCACTTTCTGGCATTTCATGGTGGCAGATGGGGTCACCTCGCCACCTCGGGGCTGATCCCCTGTGGGCCCCTCGTTCCCACAGGAGCCTTGTGATGGGCAGGGCAGGCACCAGCACCAGGCTGGGTGGCGGTTTGGCTCTCACCACGCCGGCTTCCAGAAGGCCAGCAGGCTTGCGAGTGGGCACACGCTGGTGCTGGGGCCGGGCACTGGTGGGGGGTCAAGGGCTGACCCTGCGGGGACCCCTGCAGACAGACACTGGGCCAGAGCCACAGGGAGGAAGGCCAGTGGGAACGGCAGGAGGAGGGAGCGTGATTGGTTACGGTGGCGGAACTCGCACCCACCCCCGCAGCCGTTTGTTCGTTTGCTCATTTATTTTTGGTCTGAAGTCCATGCTTTTGTATTTCCCCACCGTTCCGTTGAGCAGCTTCAACATTTGCCGCAGTTAGGCCTCTCTGGAATCTGTGCTTAGAGATTGTGAGACAGGGTCAAGTTTCAGCAGCTCGGACTCCTCTGTCTGCAGAGAACCTGCCAGCACAGCTGCTCCTGGGGGCAGGAGAGGCACTGTCTGTTTTGGGGTGACGTGAGCTGATGGGAAAGCCAGGCTGGACATAGCTCCTGGGCCGGCAGCCCATCTTGGTGGCGGCTTCACGCCGTCTGGCATCTCCGGTCCTGGAGCATGAGGGCTCAGGAAGAGCCTCTGATTCGGCTGCTCTGGAGGCCTCGTCTGGACACACCTGGGCAGGCCCGAGTCCACACACCCTATGGCCTCAGGAACCGAGAGAGACCTTCCTTCCATGTTTCAACTTAGACAACAGGAGACTTTGTTTTGGGAGGAATCACTCAATTCAGGTGGACGCTGCAGCTGGGCGGGACATCTGGCCTCTCCCTGTGGCAGGGAGGGGCATGGGAGAGACAGGGGTAGTGTCCCAGGAACTCCGTGGGCCTGTGGCGAAGTCCCAGCCCTGCAGCTGCCAGTGCAGGGTGTTATCCAGGGGCAGGACATCGTCTGCAGTGGCTCTGCCTTCCCCGATGCCAGGTGACCCCATGGAGCCAGTGTCTGTGACCTCTTCCATGCTGGGGCTAAAGAGGCCAGCAGGATTGGGGGCTGGCATTAGTGGAGAACCTCAGAGCCCAGGGCTGTGGGCTGATGGGTGGCGAGGCCCCCGCCAGCTGCTTGGGGATAGCCCAGCCACTGTTCTTGGTCCACCCGGCCTTTGATTCCTTTTTCCTGTGTGCATTTTTGAGCACCTTCTGTGTGCGAGAGGCCGTGCCTGCCCGAGAAGAGAAGGAAACACCACAATGAGCCTCGGACACCCACAGTCTGAAGGGCCCGGAGTAAGCCTCAGACGCCCACAGTCTGGAGGGCCCGGCGCTGTGAACGAGCAGTCACAGGGAACAGCGTGCCCTTATCGCTGACACAGGCTCTGGAGGGCCCGGCGCTGTGAGTGAGCAGTCATAGGGAACAGTGCACCCTTATCGCTGACACAGGCGAGGGCTTCGTCTTCTCACAGCTCTTATCTTGGGTGTCACCCCAGCCAGAGTCAGGGCTGATGGCGGGGGGTGGGGGGGGGGCAGGCTGTGGTCAGGGACCTGCAGGAGAGGGGAGGGCCTCGCTTCTGATGGGCGACGTTCATTTACACACAGCTCTGCGGCCCAAACGGCCAGGCTGGATCCTGTCTTTTAAAAACCTTGCTAATTTGGTTGATGGAAAATATCATCTCAGAGTTCTGTTTTGTGAGTCCCCATTGCCATGCGGGCAAACATTTTCATCCACTAAGGGGCCGTCGTGTTTCTCTGGGAACGTGGCGTTCACCGTGTGGGTGAACTTTTTCACGCACTAAGGGGCCGTCGTGCTTCTCTGGGAATGCCGGGTTTGTGGCTCGTGCCCACTGCCCTGCAGGTGCATTCTCTTTCCCCGTAGCTTTTTGTCTGTTGATGCTTTCAGCTCTGGATGTCCTATTTTGCGTACTTTTATTGTTTATGGTCAGCCTTTAACTGGGGGTATGATATTTCTTTAACTGGGGGTATATTTCTTTTTTTTTTTTTTTTCGAGATGGAGTCTGGCTCTGTTGCCCAGGCTGGAGTGCAGTGGCGTGATCTTGGCGCCCTGCAACCTCCATCTTCCGGGCTCAAGCGATTCTCCTGCCTCAGCCTCCTGAGTAGCTGGGACTACAGGTGTGGGCCACCACGCCTGGCTAATTTTTTTTTTTTTTTTAAAGTAGAGACGGGGTTTTGCCATGTTGGCCAGGCTGGTCTCAAACTCCTGACCTCAGGTGGTCCACCTGCCTCGGCCTCCCAAAGTGCTGGGATTCCAGGCGTGTGCCACTGTGCCCAGCCATGGGGTATATTTCTTAATGTGTGGAGTTGTTTTTCCTCATTTTTCTGGTCCCTTTAGAGATGGCACCCTGGAGTGGCCAGCAGAGCTCAGGGGCCTGCGGCCCAGGCACACAGACAATGGAGCTGGCCCTGCCACTTTGCTCATCTGTGGTGCAGGTCTGCTGAGGGGCCGTGAGGGTCCTGCAAGTGAAGGTGCTTGAGGCCTCAGTGCCTGTGGGGAGGCCACGTGGCACCTGTCAGCTGTTAGCGTCTTGACTCTGCCTTTGTGGATATGGAATTAGAGATGCTTCTCACAGTAGTGGCTAAACTGTCAGGAAGCCTGGCCGTCATCTATGGTCCTCTTTGCCCTCATGGGTGGGATGCCGCCTAGTGTGATGGCTGAGAGCTCAGGCTGTGACCCTGAGTGTGTGTGGCCACGGGCAGGCTGCTCACCCTCTCCGTGTCTTGGTCTCTAATCTGTGCCTGGGGATGGTGGAGCGTCATGGGGCCATACAGGAAGGATGGGACATCACACATCGGCTTCCTGGGGTGTGTCCTGCTGACAGCCCTCTGAGGCCAGCCGGTCCTGAGGCTCTAGGGGGGACGCCACAGTGGAGAGAGGGCTCCATCCCCACCCTTAGGGCAGAGCCCCGTAGGAGGGACTGGTTTGCAACGTGAGTAAAATGGGTCCCCGTGAGCAGACACAGCTTTTGTGCTGCTTCTTACTGAGCCCCGCGCTGTGCCTGCTGAACTGAAAGATGTGTATTAGAGAGGGCAGCCATTCCCACCTCCTCCAGCCGCGCTACGTGTCCGCAGGCCAGGGCGCCTGCACCATGACAGGCTTCAACGCCCCTGTCGCGGGGACCCAGGGAACACCTGTCTCCTCCACTTGCTGGATTTGTGACTGGGCGGCAAACATTTTCTAAAGTCTCCCGCTACGACCCCTCGGCTGTCAGGAGACTTCTGAGAAAGCCG
Source organism: Homo sapiens (assembly GCF_000001405.40). Lineage (NCBI taxonomy): Eukaryota > Metazoa > Chordata > Mammalia > Primates > Hominidae > Homo > Homo sapiens. The sequence continues at coordinate 30,731 of NW_025791815.1, forward strand.
GGCCTCTTTTGCCCCAGCGAGGAGCTTTCTTGTGAAGAGGCAGTTCCCGGAGGGAGGCGTCTGTGCTTTGTAAAGTTTAGCCTCATGTGCTGCCTCTGAGGAGGAGTTCAGAGAACATCCGCTTCCTTTCTGTTATCATCTCAGCCTTCCAGCCAGAAAGAAGGAAGCGTCCATGGATCCCGTCCACGCTAACCTTGGGGTCCCTCTGCCAGCCCTGCACATCCTTGTCCCTGGGCACTGAGGGAAGCAAAGGCCCCGCCAGCCATGCCCAGCACTTGTGCCTGGGCCTTTGCAGAGGCTAGAGGCAGGGTAGAGGATGGAGAGGGTTTAAAAGGCAGGTTCCCAGGAAATTCCCTAGGTGTGGGATTGGAGGGGTGCTGAGGGAGGTGGCGGACCCTCAGGGGCAGGAGCCTTATGGAGTGAGCTGGTCCATGGAGCTGGGAGGCGTCTTCTAGTATAAATTCTCATTTCAGCTAAACAGCTTGCCCTCTCCAAGCCCGTGTGCACCTGAACCATCTCTGCTCTCTGAGCCTTGGTCCCTTGGAGGAGCAGGAGGAGGTGGAGGAGGAGGATCGGGAGGAGGAGGGGGAGGCCCTTTCTGTATTGGATGCACCGCCTGGCCCCAGGCCCTCCTGCCCAGCCTTGTGGCTCTGGCCGTCAATCAGCTCCCTTCTCCTGGCTTTGCTGCTGCCCTGCCTCTTGCTAGGAGGCCATGGTGTGCCTGTGCCTGGCAGGCAGTGTTGCTGCTGACCTCTCATCTGTTTTGGGTCCCCAAATCTCAGCCCTGTCTCCCTTTCGGGGGCACATCTTGATGCGGGGTCTCTGATCCCCTCGGGGCAGCAGGACATCCCTGTTTTCCAGCTGAAATGAGACTTCACCCCCAAAGGAATGGGCTCCAGTCCGACCTACTCAGGTTGTTAGTCACACGTTTCTATTGTGAAAATGACTGAGAATGTTGTGGGAGGTTTGGAAACCAGGAAGACCACCTGTCCCAATTCAGCCTTTCCTGTCATCACAGGGGACGTCTGGCATTTTAACAGACCTGGGCGGCCTCCTGCAGACAAGGCTCGGACCCTGCGGCCGACTCTGCCCCAGGCCTGGCCCCTGCTGATGGCCATGCTCCGGGCATGTGGCCTGAGGGCCTCACGGACAGCCAGCCTCCCAGACCAGAAAACAGCCCTGCCCGCCAGTGAGAGGGCAGACAGATGGACACTAATGTCCCCGAACCTAAGAAACAAAACCCAAAACCCTCATTTATGCTTCCACTTCCGATCACACGCATAGAAGGCCGAATACTGACCCCGAGCTGACCACCCCGGCCTGTGGGACCCGTGAGTATGGCCTGTGTGTGGGATGAGGCTCAGGATCAGGTGCAGATGACCCTGGATTATCAGGTGGGCCCCACGTCATTACGAGGGTCCTTATAGAGAAGGGGCAGGACAGGGAGAGGAGGGGATGATGGAGATGGAGCCGCTGGGGAGGGCATGAGAAGACCAGGAAGTGGGTTCCCCCTGGAGCCTCCAGAGGACCCCTGCGGGCACCGTGACTTCTGACTTCCAGTCTCCTGAGCTCTGAGGGATGCCTGTGTTGCTTTAAGACACTGACTGACTTGTCCCAGCAGCCAGAGGTGACAGTGCGGCGTGGTGTTGGTTCACCGAAGGGGTGGCATTAGTGACCATGGGAATAAGGGCCTCTCACCTGCGAAGGGCCACTCTGTGGGGCAGGAAGTCTTGGATGTGTGCCGGCTTCAGCAGGACCCTCAAGGCTGCTGGGGGTCAGAATACGAGCACTTCCTGCACACCCAGGGCCACCCCAGGCTGCAGGCTTTGTGGAGACTTAAAGATGAGTCCTCGGCCTTCGGAATCTCCTGACTCAATGGAACCTCTGGTCTTCAGGTCCCCAGGATGACCTCCCAACAGGCCCAGGGCAGCAGCCAGGAGCTGGACACCCAGGGCTCAGAGCTCAGGACCGGCTGCCACGGGTGGGGCAGGAGGAGGGGCAGGACCATGCGCAGGGGCGGCGGAGCGGGGCTGTGAATGGAGCCCCCCTTCCGGAAGATGGATGCAGGTGGGAACCAGCGTGGTGTGGAGTTGAGAGCGGGGGTGCGGCAGGCGGCCGGGGCAGGCCCCGGACGGGAAAGTGCAGGCGGTGCCATTGATCAGACCCTGGCTGGGGGCCTGGGGTTCACGCCTTGCCTGGCCTTCAGAGAGGTGCGAGCTCTACTTTTGGAGAATGAGGCAAAGGCGCAGAAGCACTCCCGGAAAGTGCCATCCAGCCCAGTGCCTGGCGCTGCAGCCGGGTGGAGCCCCAGGTGGTGCTCACGCAGCCAGGCGGGCATGGTGTGTTGGGGGTTTTCATAAAGAAAAGCTGACCAGGCACGTGCCAAGCAGGCCCTCAGCCCTGAGGGTACTTGCCGGGGGCCGGGAGAGTGTGGGCCCCCGCTTATCCAGAACACTGCGTGGGCCCTCGGCTATCTGGAATGCCTCGCCGGGCCTTTCAATTATCCAGAACACACAGCCAGACCCCTTCTGTTATCCGGACTGCCCAGCAACACCGGGCAGGTATGCCTCTGTGACCCTGACCCAGCTGAGTTGGGAACGTGGCCACACCGGCCCTTCCTGTGGGGCCCGTGAAACCTGTGAATCACGCCTCTCATTGGCATCTGGATCGTGGCTCCCTAGACCCGGCTTTTTAAACCTATTCTTGGGGAATGGGGACCTTCTCTGAGGTCCATCTTGGTCAGGAGCAGTAGGGCCGGCCAGCCTGGATCTCTGTCCTGCAGCCCACTTTCTGGCCAGGAGACTGGGGCAGCACACACAGTCTTGCCATGCCCAGTGTCCTTTGTGAACTGGGGCCGGTGTGGGGGTGGCCGGGGCACAGTCTCCCCACGCCTGGTGTCCTTTGTGAACTGGGGGTGGTGTGGGGACCGCGAGGCTCCGCACTGGTGTGGGGGTGGCCGGGGCAGGGCGGTGTTTGCTTGGATTCAGAAATCCAGGCCCCTAGGTGTTGAACCTGAGGACAGTGTGCTCTCCTGGGCCTCGGTCCGTCCTCTGTGACCTGGTCACCCAGCATCTCTTAGATTTCCTCTGAGGACAGTGTGCTCTCCTGGACCGCGGTCCGTCCTCTGTGACCTGGTCACCCGGCATCTCTTAGATTCCAGCTTAGGCTCAGCAGGTGCTAAATATTAGTCAGATTGGAGCTGCATGCTGACTAGCACACAGTTTCTAGTTGAACTCCAGAGGTGCAGCCTCTACTCTCCCACTTGATTGGAAGCAGCACAGCTCACTTTGCCTGGGTCTTTTATCCCCAGCCCCAGCGCCTGCCCCTGACAACTCTTCCCTTCCCTCGTTCTGCATATGCTCGTTCTGCATATCCTCGTTCTGCATTTCCTCGTCTGAATTGCAAGCTGGTCTTGCTCTCGAGAGAGTGACAGTGCTTTCAGTGTCAGGTATGTTTTCTTGTTCCGTGAGTTTTCAGATATTTGGAAGCAGCTAATTTGATCTTTACCCTTCTGTTTTCAGCAGAAATAATTCTAGTTCCCTAAGTTATTTTTGTTAAAGGGCTTTTCTGACTGTCGGTGTTCTTGGTTGCTTTTGGTTGTGGCGGGTTGCTGTTTAGATAATGTGTGTTTTGGGAAATGATCTTCCCAAAGGTGGTGCTGGGATCCCGGAGAGCCCGCCCAGATTCCCCAGGAGCAGCTCCTACCCTCACTGCCAGACCCTGCTGGTTTTTGTATTTCACGTGGACTCACCTCCTGGCTTGTCAGGGCCTTGTGGGATTCTTAGCCTCTTAATGGATACGAATGGCACCGGCTTGCCTTACCTCCTTCTGGCGCTTGCTTCTCTGTGCTTGTGGGCTGTTCCACTGTAGTCTCTGGATTGGCCCCCGAACGTGCCTGCCTGCTGTGCAGGGATCCCTGGGTTCCCCGGGGCTTGGGGCCCTTTCACCTGCAGGTTCCCTGTCCTGCGGTCTGTGGCTTGCTCAGTGTCCTCAGGTGTCCTCTTCCGACTCGAGGGTCTCACGGGTGCCCCCGCCCTGCCTGGCCCAGCTGCCCTCTCTGTGGCATTTCTAGGACCGCGGTCTCTCTGGCATTCTGTGTGCCAACTTCTGCTCCCTCCAGCTCCCTGATGGGCTTTTCAGCACATCCAGGACCTGTGCACCAGGCCTGTTAATAACAACGGACTGTGGGGTGACCGCTCTCGGCCGGGGGATGTGGTTTGGCCCAAATCCTCTGCATCCGTTGTTGTAGCCACTGTGGTCTGGGCAGAGCTGGGCCCTCCATCCTGGGTGCCACTCCCATGAAGTGGTGAAGGAGGTGCTGCTCTGTGGAAAACGCTAAGGGTGGGGAGAATTGCACCGTAGGGAAGAGAGAAAAGGGGGTTCTGGCCTCCAACCTCCTTCCCCAGGCCCCACCCACAGCGCAGCTGGCAGCACTCTGTGTCTCCGGCCTCTTCCATCTCCCCAGACACGTCTTTCCTGGGAGGTGGCCTTGGCATGGCCAGTCCTGCTGCCGCAGGAACCGAGAAGGGCAGGTGCCTGTTCGTTAACGTGTGCCGCCCCCGGAGCGCTGGCTGTGAGTGGGGGCGCCTGGCGTGGGGCTGGACGGCCAGGGCCTGCTGTCTAGATGTGCAGTGACAAGACCCTTCCCTTCCAGGGGAGCCGGCTCTGACTCCGAGCTCTTTGTGGGCTGCATCTGCAGATTGAGGACAGCGCTGAGCGGAGCTGGCCGGGTGCTCATCCCTGGTGGGGGCAGAGGGGTCTGCATCCCGGCCCCCGGCTGCCGAAGTGGTAGGGTGGGCGTGCCCTTCCCACGCCTGCCCGCCAGCATCGCTGAGGGTCCCCGAGCTGGGGAGGGATGTCTCTGGCAGGGCAGCTCAGTGCTGGGCTCATTCTTCCCACGTCAAGGCAGCCGTCCCTTCTTGGTGGTTTCCCTTGCTTTGTGGCAGGAGCTGGTGGCCTGGGAACAGCTGCCGGGTGTTTAGATGAATTCCCGGGCTGGCTCTGGGGCGGCGCTTGCCCGGTCACTTGTCTGCTGCGATCACTGCAGAGGCTGCCTCCTTGCTGAGCCTCGGGGTGCTCACCGGCGGTTCCCACCTGCTCTGCACAGCCCGCCTCGTGCACCTGCTGACCCCACCGTGTCCACAGCCCGCCCTCCTTGGCTCACATCTCTTCCTGGGGTCTCAGGGAAGCGGCACCTCCTCAGGGGCCTCCCAGCCACCTCACGTCACTTCCTGGGGTCTCAGGGCAGCGGCACCTCCTCAGGGGCCTCCAAGGCTGTCTCTGCTTTAGCGTTGGGTTCCCGGGTCCCTCCCACCCCGACCTCCTGTGCCTGCGGCCCTGCGAGGCGTGATGGCCAATACACACCCTCTAGAGGGGCTTGTGTCATGTGGAACCAGCCAGACCCCCCGGACGGCTTGCAGGCAGGGAGATGGAGAAGCAACCCCTCCATGGGGCAGACAGTGCCATAGTCTTCACCGCCTCAGTCTGGGGGCATCAGGGCTGCAGGTCAGCTCTTCCCTGTCTTCAGTAAAGGATGGACGCGAGGACCAGGGTCCCCAGTGTCAGTGGCGGGTCAGGGATGCCAAAGTGCTGAGCAGAAGTTGGCCAGCCCTTGCCAGAGGCTCTGGAGCTGGGCCCTGACACACGATGCCGTGTGTAGTGACATGCAATTCCATGTAGTGACGTGATTCCGTGTAGTAAGGCGATGCCGTGTGTGGTGACGTGCAGTTCCGTGTAGTGACGTGATGCCGTGTGTGGTGACATGCAGTTCCGTGTAGTGACGTGATGCCGGGTAGTGACGTGATGCCGTGTAGTGACGCAATGCCGTGTAGTTACATGATGCTGTGTGTAGTGATGCGCGATGCCGTGTGTGGTGACACGATGCCGTGTGTGGTGACACTTAATGTCATGTAGTGACACGCTCGCAGGATCGCCAAGGCCAGGCTGGCTCCAAAGGCTTGGGTCTGGCTTCCTGGGGCCACTGGGTGCTCTCTGAGGCCGCCCATCACTGTTCGGGCCCTGGGGTGGGAGCTGGGCTGCAAAGTGGCCTGGACTTTATGTCCTGCCAGGTACAGTGTTTCCCTCAGCAGATTTATCAGGCGTTTTGGGTGTAAATGCCAGGAAGCCTGGCTGGCGCTGAAGGACCCTCCTCAAAGCCACGGATGGGCACCATGCTTAGGGGAGGACCTGGGGCCACTTGGTTGCATTGTGAAATGTTCATGATTTTTAAACAGTTTTATTTTTTAAAATTACTGAAGTCCAACAGGAGCATTATTCAGCATTTGAGGCCCCAGCCAGTACAGCGCTGCCTGGAATAAAAAGTAAAATGTCCCCCGGAACCCCAGCCCTCAGTTCTCCCTCCCTGGACCCCCCTCCTGAGAATCTTCTCACAACCTTGGCTTACTGACTCCACATTACGGCCGTGTCCCCGCTCTGTGGCCCGGTGGACGCAGGTAGCTTTGACTCAAAACAGGAATTTGTTTCCATCCTTTCATGGTCACAAATAATAAAAAGCAGCTTCTGGACAACAATGAAGTTGAGATAAATACCAGGACCAGACCGGCCACGGGAGCCGTGGGTGAGCCGAGGGTCCCCCTCAGGACCCCTGCATCCTGCCTGAGTGTGCAGCAGCTCCCCCCGACAGGAGCGTCAGGGCCGGTCTCCTCCGAGTCTCCTGGCAGAGGCGTTGCTGTCGCAGCTGGCACTGTGCATGGCTGGCAGCAGAAGTCTGTGCTTGGCAGCCCTCGACACCTGCTGGATGTGTTTGCAGGGCTGGGCAGGCACCTGTCCCACGGCCCAGCCCCGAGGGTCTCGTGGCACCAGCCTGGCAGGACGGGCAGCAGGGAGTTAACGGGAGCCACTGCGAGGACACTGTGATCTCAGAGCTGCGTCATCGCTGATGGAAGAGGTGACGTCCCCTCCACAGAAAGCGCCTTTGTGGGCGACCCTGGCTCGTCCCCCTGCAGCCCCCACGCAGGTAGTGGGCTGCCCTCTCCCTCTCCCGGAGTCCCCTCGGGGCACCGAGAACAGACCCCTCCTTCATCCCTGCTGTCAGCTCATGACACCGGACAATTTGGGTCCCAATTATATCTAGAGAACCAGGGGAAAGGTCACGTTGTCTAGACATTAATCCAGCACTGTGGCATTTTTTCCTGGGCCTGTATCCTGGCAACAGGAGGGCGAGTGGGGGCCCCAGCTCCTCCCCTCCTCAGAACCTTCTGGGGCTGGAGGTGTGGCATGTGCAGGGAAGGCAGCCTGGAGAAGGCGGTGCCCTTGGGCTGGGCCTGCAGTGGGCAGCCATGCAGGACTCCATGGGAGGAGAAACCACAGCTCTCGGCTGTGCTGGGGTGGGGTGAACAGTGGCGGGGAACCTTGGGGAGCTGTGGATGGCCCAACCTCATTGGAAGCTGTGCGTGGCCAAGCTCAGGCACCTGCTCTGCCTCTCCCAGTCCTGCCTGTGTCTGTCCTGGTCACGGATTCCTACCTCTGTCCCAGGAGGGTGTGAGGACAGTCTGTGCCACTCACCCGTGTCTGCTCCGAGCCAGGAGACTCTGGCCACCCCCACCCCACCCAGCCCTGCCTCGAGGTCCTGCACTGGTCCCTGCCCGGTACCGGGTCAGCTGGTGCCTGCCTGTCCTGCCCTGCACTCCTCAGGCTCCTCAAGGACAGACGGACAGACAGGCACTCTAGAGAAGGGACCTTGGCCAGACGGCTTTGCCGCCCCCACCCCCATAGGTGCTTGCTTTGAGCCCCTTGCAAAGGTGAAGCCAGATCTGGGATCCCAGGGCCTGGTGCGGCTGGACATGGGAGGAGGGCCACGGTCACGCTTGCACGGGGCAGAGACTCCCAGAACCACAGGCCTCAGGAGAGCTGGGAAGGGAAGGAGAGGGCACTGCGGTGCCTGGAGAGCCAGAGTCCGCCCGTGTGGAAGTGTTGGGGGCTGTGTTGCAGTGACAGCCCTGGCGTCTCAGGAGCGGAGCAGGACACCGCGTTTCTGGCTGTGCAAGGCTCCACGCGGGTCAGCAGCCCATCCTGGCTTGTCATGCTGTTAATTAGATTGGAAAACCTCGGCCTTCCATTTCTTAAATTGCTCACTCCTGCAGTCCTCTTCTCTTGCCTGCAGGCCTGGAAGGTGTGGAGCGGGTCAGGTGGCTGGCAGGTTGCCAGGAAGGAAGCTCACACTGTTTCAGGGTTGGCCGGGTACTTGCCGTGCCTGCCTGGCACAGAGACCCTCATTCCTGCCACCTCCCAGGCAGTAGGCAGCCAGGTGGACCACCGAGTGGAGAGAACCTTTGAACACCTCAGCACCTGAGGCTCAGGGCCCTGTGACAGGACACAGCCCGGGGTCCCCCAGGGCCAGTTGCACCCCTCTGGAATTCCTGAGCACTGTGACTGTGACCTGTGTCATATGTGCGGCCTCTCAGCTTGCAACCCTCCATTCCTGCCTGTGGTGTGGTGCCATCTTCACCCCATTCCATGCCAACACACTCACACAGACACACGCTCGGGCCGATACGCACACATGGCTGTCACACACACAGGTTCACAGACACACAGGCTCACGCACACACAGGTTCACATATACACAGCTCACACAAGCTCTCACACACACACGTTCACACACACAGGCTCACACATACAGGTTCACATACACATGGCTCACACACATGGGCTCACACACACACACACACATGCAGGCACACACAGGCTCACTGTGAGGTTTAATCTCAGCAAAGTCTGAGCACCTGGACTTGGCTCAGGGACCCTGGCACACCCGCTTGCTCTCTGTCTGTAGAGGGGCAGGAGGCCCTGGGTTTGGTGGGCTCTGTCTGTAGAGGGGCAGGAGGCCCTGGGCTTGGTGGGCAGGCATTTGGAGTGCGATGGCGGGGCCTCGCCTGTGGGCACTGAGGGTCTCACCTCTTCCTGCAGCTTTTGAAGGGATGGGAGGCTCCAGGATAGAGTTGCAGGACAGAATAGATGGCAGAAGCCAGGAGCCGGGGCCTTTGCGTGGCTGCCTGGCCTGACGCACCTCGCGCCGTGCCAGGACCCGGGCAGGGCAGCAAAAGGCATCTGTGAGTCGCCGTCCTGTGCGGGTCTCAGGGCACAGTGGGTGGCACGGGCTCTCCCAGCCGTCGGTTGGTGAAAAACGGGGCCTCCGCCCAGCACCCTGCCAAGGAAAGGGGAGGTAGCGGCCCCAGGTCAGGCCACTGGGTGAGGCGGGGCTGTGGGCCTCCTGGGTGGAGGGGCCTGTTCTTTGGGAGACCACCTGGTGGGTGGTGTCAGGAAGGTCCAAGTGGCTTTTTTTTTTTTGAGATGGAGTTTCACTCTTGTTGCCCAGGCTGGAGTGCAATGGCATGATCTCTGGTCACTGCAACCTCCATCTCCTGGGTTTGAGAGATTCTCCTGCCTCAGCCTCCCGAGTAGCTGGGATTACAGGCATGCACCACCATGTCCAGCTAATTTTTTTGTATTTTTGCCCAGCTAATTTTTTGTATTTTTAGTAGAGACAAGGTTTCTCCATGTTGGTCAGGCTGGTCTCTAACTCCCGACCTCAGGTGATCTGCCCGCATCTCCTTCCCAGAGTGTTGGGATTATAGGTGTGAGCCACCGCACCCGGCCGAAGTGGTTTTAATGTCCCCACTTTTGACCACTTCTCCTTCTCCATAGGGCAAATCAAGCTTGGAAATGGTGTCCTGGAGCTTAAGGGAGTTGGAAACCATGGCTTATGTTCCATGGTGACATGGTTCTTGAGGGTTAGCTGGTCCAGTTCCCGCGTGTTGGCCGGTCTGGTCCCTGAGTGTTGGCTGGTCCACTTCCTGAGCGTTGGCCAGCTGCCCTTGCTGTGCTGGGGTACATTCCCCGAGCTTCCACAGTTTCCCTTTCCTTGCTGCTGTATTCAGTGATTTGCAGAGAGAAAGGCGTGGAGCTCCACAAGCACCTCGGACGGCAGCAGGACCCTCCCAAAGCTGTGTCCACACACAGCTGGGCGCCCGCCCCCCGCCCCCCGCCCCCCGGAGGGCCCGGCTCCAAGGGTCATATGAGTGGATCTGGAGGTCGGCCTCTCTTGAATCCCAGCCTCCTCGGGGTCAGCCCAGGTTGTCCCCACCCCCACCTGAGTTACTGCGGAACCAAGGGGCTCATGGCCATTGAGTGACTCCAGTTAATGCTGAATTAGGTACCTCAGGCTTGAGTCAAATATTAACAGAGGAGGCCGGCCAGAGCTCCCCAGTGTTTGGAGGATAGCTTGGTTTTCTCCCTGAGTGCATTGCCCATACCGGGTGGAGGCAGTTCCGTCCTGCAGACTCCGTGGTTCTGAGTTGGAGCCCTTACTGGCCAGTTTAAGACCCTCTTGGAGCAGGGTTCTGCAGTGTCCTGGGGGCAGAGGCCTGACGCACTCAGCTGCTCGCCCAGGGCCCTCCTGTTGGGCATTTGGATTTGGAATCTGAGGCTGTAGGAGCAGCTGCCTCCCAGTGAATTCTGATGCACAGACAGGGGCCTGTCCTGCCAGCAGGTCCTGCAGACGGAGCCGGGCCAGGGTGCTGGGCAGTGCTGCGGGGCCCTGGTGGAAACAGTCCCTGCAGAGGGTCCCGGGCACTGGTGCTGGGGGGAGGGTAGGGCTTAAGGAGGCCTCATGTCGGGACCCTGGCAGGCCACCCCACCTCCCGCAGTGCCCGGTCCGCCATCCACAGTGACACAGGGACACCTTCTCAGGTGGAGGAGGTGGCAGTCACGGCAATTCAGGAGCAAACCCAGGCTTCCTGTGCCTCTGTGGTGGGCCCTGGTGGTGTTGGCAGGCCCAGGGCACAGGCAGGCTCAGGGCTCTGCTGGGGAGCAGTGGGAGGCCCTCTCTGCAGGGCGGAGAGCCAGGTGAGGAGGTGTGTGGCGCAGGTAAACACGCCTGGAGCGCAGCTCTGCTGTGGGTTAGCCGTGGGTCTCTGGGCGAGGGTTCCCGGGATACAGACACCTGCCCCAAGGTGCCCCACAGAGGATGACCCCCAGGGCAGCCGTGCCTGAGCCTGCGTGGTCACCTCCCACAGTGCCAAGGCGCTCCCCCAAGGCCCCTGCGGCCCACCTGACCAGTGGAGAACTCGCGAGCACTCGGCCAGTGGTGCCTCCAATTTGCAGCCTCCAATCCCTGGTCAGAGGTGTGACCTGACCCTGGACCAGAGCGCTGGGCCAGGTCCTGGTGGCTTCTGCCCTTCAGCTTGGAAGCTCCTGAAAACCGGCTCCCTTCCGGGGCAGCCCTTGGCCCCCACTGACCCTCCCTCAGTCCTAGGTGTGCAGTGGCGTGGGGACCCTGGGAGGCCCGTGGCGCAGCCCCTTCCCGCCTCCTGCCCGTCGGTTTCCATTGCTCAGGCACTGCCTCGCCCGCGCCTCTTTCTCCCAGACCTGAGCCACCGCTGCCAGGATCCTTCCCCAGCTGGTTTTCCTTCTCTTTGATGTGTTTCCACTGAGGGTCCAAACCGGTCCAGGCGCGGGTTCCAGAACTTTCTTCAGATCTCTCGCACCTGAAAATTTCCTCTGTAGCCATTCGCAGGAGGTTTCTCAGATGCCCCGGGCTCGGGGGCCAGTCAGTCTCATGAGGACGGGGTGGGTCTGACTTGTGGCATCGCGGCCTCTCCATCGGTGCTGCTGGGCCTGTGAGCCAATGGGTGGGCAGCACCACCCACCGCCTCCTTCCTCACACCAGTCTTGGGCTGCGCAGAGCCCCAGCCATGTGTGTGCTGAGTGCAGTGTGACCGCGTCCGCCCGTCTCCCCGGACACGCCTGTTGGAGCCCCGGCCGTGTGTGTGTGTGTGCTGTGAGTGCAGTGTGACCGCGTCCACCTGTCTCCCTGGACACGCCTGTCAGAGCCCCAGACTGGGCTCCCCTGGAGGACCCTGGTGCTGACACAGAGTCAGCGGGTCCCTGGGGTCCCTGCAACTGTCCCCCAAGAGGTGTGCATGGAGGTGGACCCCCTGCCTCACCCTCGGGTGGCCCAAGGCCTCTGAAAACCGTCACGGCAGGGGTCACAACCCCACTCACCCACACCCTCCTGCATGAACACTGCACAGCTACCTCCCGTGGGCTGCCCTGTGAGGTGTGGAGCTGGGCTGCAGACTTGCACAAGGTGGGGTCCTGTGTCTGGAGTCAGAGGGTCCCTCTCGTCGTCCAGCCTCCCCGGCTCCTCAGGGGGAGGTTCGGGGCCTTTGGTCTCTGGACTTGGGCAGCAGAAAGGAAACATCCCTGGGGGCCTGTGGTGACCCCCATCCTCCCCAGGGTGGTCTGGCAGGGGACACTGTTTTCCAAAGCAAAGCCAGAGCGCCAAGGGCTCTCGGGATTCACGAGATCCACATTTATCCCAAGTTAGAACAGCACATCTGTGCGTGCAAACTTCATTCTGACTTCGGCCGGCTGTCCTTCTTGCCCAAAGCACCGTGAGGCCTCATCCCTGCATCCCTGTTGCTTCTTTCATGTGGGATGAGAACCCAGGAAGGGGCTGAGTGTGACTCCTCTGGTTTTTAGAGAGCACTGCCCCCGCCCCGCCCCCTCCTGCTTCCCCACCTTTTCACAGTTGCCTGGCTGGGGCGTAAGTGAATTGACAGCATTTAGTTTGAGTGACTTTCGAGTTACTTTTTTTCTTTTTTTGAGACAGAGTCTCGCTCTGTCGCCCAGGGTGGACTGCAGTGGTGTAATCTTGGCTCACTGCAACCTCTACCTCCCGGGTTCAAGCGATTCTCACATCTCAGCCTCTGGAGTAGCTGGAATTACAGGCGCCCGCCACCACACCTGGCTAATTTTTGTGTTTTTAGTAGAGATGGGGTTTCACCATGTTGGCCAGGCTGGTCTCGAACTCCTGACCTCAGGTGATCCGCCTGCCTTGGCCTCCCAAAGTGCTGGGATTACAGGTGTGAGCCACCGAGCCTGGCCTGGAGTTATTTTGGGAGAGGGCAGCCCCTGGTTCAGCGTGGCGAGGCTGCGCTTGCTCTCCCGGGCGGGCGTCCACACCCTCCTCGCCGAGATGGAGAAGCCCAAACCCCTGCAGCGCTCCCCCATCACGTCCGGCCCTGGAAGCCCCCGGAAACCCTGCCACGCCCTGAGTGGGAGAGCGCAGGTCCCTTTCCGGCCCTGGAAGCCCCCAGAAACCCTTGGGTGCCAGGCCTGGCCGGGACAGCAGCGACACTGCATGCTCAGCCCTTGCGTGAGACCACGGGAGTGTCCGCCCTCTGCACGTGCTGCTGATTGCCCACTTCGTCCAGCAGGTTTGGGAGCTTGTGGCTGCATCCTCCTGCAGACACTTGCCCATTCTGGGGCCTCCTCTCTGTCTTTTCTCCTCTGTTGAGGGGTCTGGGAGGGAGGCCTTGGAGGGTACCCATGCTGCTGGGACTGATGCTCCCCGCGGTGGAAGGAGCTGCCTCTTGAACAGCAGGGGGCTGAGCAGAGGGGAGGGGATGCGGGGGTGCCGTGCACACAGGTGCTCTCAGGACGCAGGGGCTTCTCAGCCCTGCTGTCCCAGGGCTGCACTCCAGCAGGGCAGACTCCTGAGGTGCAGACACCCCAGCTTCACGCTCACACTTCTGGAAGGCGATGTCTGTGCGTTTGCTTTCTGCTGCAGTTTAAAAAGCCGGGCTCTCTCCGGAGCGTGTGTAGGGCCTGGTCACTGGAATATCTGGACTCAGTGTTAATGGCAGCCACGCTGGGGGCTGGGCCCAGCTTTCTGTTCTCCGTGTGGGTGCCATATCCACCTCCATCGCAGCCCTTTCTCTCTCGACCTTTTAAATCACAGTGTCACCTCCCCCTGCTGTCCTGCCAGTGGCCCCTGGAGGCTTCTCCCCACCCCTTTCTTCTGGGGCAATTCTTAAGGCTGGCATTGAATCAGGAGGCCAGATGTGGCCCCTAGTAACTCACCAGCAGTCCCTGAGGCTTCTGGCTCCCCTGGCCCACCAGCCTCCCATGTCTGCCTCAGGCCTCTTGACCCGCCTGGCACTGACCAGACTGTGTGCCCGGGTGCCGTGCCCATGGGCTCCGCCTCCCCCAGGCAGGCCCCCTCTTGCTCCGCGGCCACCCCTGCTCTTGACCTCACACCTCTGCGGTGTGTCTGGACACACCAGCACCACGGCGGGCGGGGAGCGGAATTCTCCAGGTGGGGTGGGCAGGCCGGCGGGTGTTGAGGTCTCTGTGCATGCTTGTGCGTACCCTGGACTTTGCCGTGAGGGGTGGCCAGTGCTCTGGGTGCCTTTGCCAGACAACTGGTCTGCCGGGCCGAGCATTCATGCTGGTCGCCATCACGTGACTCCCATGCGCCCTGGCCCTGGGGTTGGGTCTGCAGGACTGAGAACCAGCGGAAGGGGGGCGAGGCCTCGGGAATGCGCCGGCAACTGGCGATGAGCTCAGGCCTGACTAATGAGCCCAGGTGACTCATACACCCGGGGCCTGGATGAGTCTGACTGGGTCAGGACTTCCCTGCTTGTTCTGTCCTGGGAGATGTTGTCCCTGGCCCTGCAGAGCCGGGAGGACACGAGGCCTCCTGGGTCACAGCCAACGCAGCCTACTCCTGCCCACTGCTCGCGCCGGCCAAGGCCCGTCGGCACCACCTCCTCCATGAAGCCTTCCTGACTGCCCCCATCCCTCTGTGGGCAGCTCGAGTGTGCATCTTGAGTGCTGTGCAGGTTGGGGTCCGGCGCTCCTGCAGGCAGGCGGCGTCTGGGCCTGGGGGCTCTCAGAGTTTGAGGAGCGTGTGGTGAGGGTGGCCTCGGGCCTCAAAGACGCAGCGCTGTGGGAACCGGGAGACTGGCTGAGCCCGCTCTGAGGAAGGTGGGGCCAGGGGCACCCTCAGCTGACCCGGCGTGCAGGGGTGACCAGCCAGGCGTGGCCAAGGATGGGGTCTCTGGGATCAGGAGACTTCAGTAGCAGCCAGGACCGAGGCCACCAGTTTCCACCCTGGCATTTTCCATCTTTTGAAGGACTGGAAACGATTGGATTCTTTAACTTTTTTAAGTTGAGGTGAAATTCACAACGCATAAAATTAACCATCTTAAA
The DNA here is from genome assembly GCF_000001405.40 of Homo sapiens. Lineage (NCBI taxonomy): Eukaryota > Metazoa > Chordata > Mammalia > Primates > Hominidae > Homo > Homo sapiens. The sequence continues at coordinate 45,749 of NW_025791815.1, forward strand.
GCGAACAATTCGGTGACATTTAGTACAGCCAGAAGGCTGTGCAGCCATCACCACTGCCCAACTCTAGAACATTCACACGCCGGAGAGAGGGAGCCCTGGGCCATCACGCAGCCACCGCCCGGCCCCAAGAACCTGCGAGTCCACTTTCCACCTCTGGATCGGCGGTTCTGGACGTTCATGCAGGTGGTTCCCGCAGTGCGAGGCCTTTTGTTTCGGGCTCCTCTCACAAGCCTCACGTTTCCAGGTACGTCGTGGTGTTGTGCAGACCCACAATTCATCCCTTTTCATGGGTGTGTAATAGTCCACCATAGATTCTCTACGTTTTAAAGCATGTTTTATGTGCCTGAAATGTCTCTGCACTCGAGACTATAGCTTGCTTTCTTTCTTTTCTTTTTTTTTTTTTAATTTGAGACGGAGTCTTGCTCTGTTTTCAGGCTGGAGTGCAGTGGTGCGATCTCGGCTCACTATAACCTCTGCCTCCCAGGTTCAACTGATTCTTTTGCCTCAGCCTCCCGAGTAGCTGGGACTATAGGCGCGCCACCCCACCCGGCCAATTTTTTTGTATTTTTAGTAGAGATGGGGTTTCATCATGTTGGCCAGGATGGTCTCGATCTTCCGACCTTGTGATCTGCCCGCCTCGGCCTCCCAAATTGTTGGGATTACAGGCGTGAGCCACCGCGCCCAGCCGAGACTACAGCTTTCTTTAACTGCATCCCTGGAGGGATCTGAGAGTCTCTTTCCCTGTCTCCTTTCCTTTGGAAAACATTTCAGCCAGGGCTCCCCAAGATGAAAGGCCAGAGTCCCAGGCATGGGCGTTGCAGGTGCACAGTTGCCACGGGGAGCTGTGGGTGATGGTCGCTGTCAGCGATGGCTGCTGCAGGTCCCTGTGAGGAAGGGGCAGTGCCCACAGCAGGAGGAGAGGGAGTCAGCGGACGTTGATTGGCAGTGCCCGCCCATTCCATCATTCAGTCACCCACTGTGCACCCAGCACCCAGGCTCGGCTGCATAGAACATGGCCCAGGAAGGCTCCACTTCCTGTCTCCTCTTCTCCCCTCTCCAGTCTCATGATGGGGCTGGAGGCATCTTCTAGTTTTGAGTTCTGAGCTAATGAACATGCTCATGAGCAGGCGGCAGGATCCCAGGACGGTGGAGCTGGGAGCCTGACTGCGGGTGACGGACAGGCTCTGGCAGCCCCTGTCAGCATCCTCTCCAGGGCATGTGAAAGCCAGTGTGTCCTCAGCTGCCAGTGCCCCCTCCCCACCTCCTCTGGGCCCATGTGCACGGGACCTGGGCTCCCCCAACCAAGCCTGCCCGCCTTGGTTCAGCAGAACGGCTCCTGTCTCTACAGCGGTGCCAGGCCAGGAGTGCTGTGTCTGTGAAGCGGGGTCATGGTTTTGGGGCCCTCATCTCCCTCGCGCCCTCTCATTGGGGACCCCCCGTCTCCCTAGCGCCCTCTCGTCCTCTCCTGCATGTGCTGTGTCTGTGAAGCGGGGTCATGGTTTTGGGGCCCCCCGTCTCCCTAGCGTTCTCTCGCCCTCTCCAGCATGTGAAGTGGGGTCATGGTTTGGGGGCCCCCATCTCCCTAGCGCCCTCTCGTTGGGGACCCCCCGTCTCCCTAGCGCCCTCTCGCCCTCGCCTGCATGTGCTGTGTCCATGAAGTGGGGTCATGGTTTGGGGGCCCCCTATCTTTCTAGCACCCTCTCGCCCTCTCCTGTATGTGAAGTGGGGTCATGGTTTGGGGGCCGCCATCTTTCTAGCGCCCTCTCGCCTTCTCCTGAGCGTGTGGAACTCTGTGGTGGTCAGAGCTAAGGTTCTGAATAGGTCGAAGCACCTCCCCGGTGCCTCTCACCCTGAATGCTCTGGGAGGACACAGCCTTTTCATAGGCTACGACTGACATGGCAGGAGGGGCCTGCCTGCCACCCGGGTCCTCTGCTGCCTGCTGCTTGCTGGGGAGGGGGCTCGAGACTGGGATCCTGGGCTTCTGCTCCAGCTGTGCCCAAGGGAGCTGCTGAGGAGGGACCGGGTGGGGCATCCACTCTGGGCAGGTTCAGGGTCATTCTTGGTGACCCCGGGTCCGGTTACAAAGGCTGATGGAGCGCGTGGGTGGCTGCCTAAGTCTCTGGAAGCCCAAGAATGTGGAGATGGCGCGTCTCGGCCCGGGGTCTCGTGGCTGGTCTGGGAGAACTTGCCTTTATTTCTAGGCAGGAGGCTGCACTGCAAGGGAGCGTCAGTGGCCCGGCTGGCTTTCCCCGGCCCTCAGCCCGCACTCGTCCACCAAAGCAAGCTCCTTTGTGGGGCTGCCCTGGGAAGCCGGGATCACGAGGCTCTGCCGGCCGTGGTCACCCCATGAGGCAGGGTCAGCTCGGGAGCAAGGCGGATCAGATGGAACAGAACACGTAGACCACCTCGCCCGCCCTTAGTCAGCTGGGCCATTGAAAATCAAGTCCGTAGAAAGACCTAGAAATAAGTCCCGGGGTGCCCTTGCCTGTTGACGGGCGGGCCGAGCAGGACTGTTCTCAGGCAGGCACTGGTCTCTTGGCTTCCAGGTGGTTTGTTTGCTGGTTTGAGGCTGGGGGTGACGCTCCTGTGCGGGAGGAGGTCGCATTCCATTCATAGCGGCTTATCTGGGCTGTCAGGCAGGCCTGGGAGGGAGCCTGCCTCTGTGCTCTCCAAGGGTGGGCGACGGACAGACAGGGTGTCCCACCCCTTCTGGGCCAAGGACAGAGGGTCAGTGTTTGCAGAGACCTGGGGAGGCCCAGGTGACCTCCACCGAGCACCTGCTGTGTGCAGGGCCAGTGCTGGCTGCAGAGACAGCGGAGCGTGTGTGGACCCGGCGGCCCAGGGGAGGGGGGCAGGCAGGACCCGGCGGCCCAGGGGAGGGGGGCAGGCAGGACCCGGCGGCCCAGGGGAGGTGGGCAGGCAGGACCCGGCGGCCCAGGGGAGGGGGGCAGGCAGGACCCGGCGGCCCAGGGGAGGGGGCAGGCAGGACCCGGCGGCCCAGGGGAGGGGGGCAGGCAGGACTCGGCGGCCCAGGGGAGGGGGGCAGGCAGGACCAGGCGGCCCTGGGGGTCAGGGGTGGAGGCCAGGCCTAGACGGCCCACAGGAGGGTGGACTCATTCTGACCGATTCCTGGAAGCCCCCGGAAAGTGGTGATGTTCTGGAGGGCCCAGCAGACCCCAAGGCCCCCAAGACAATCCCAGCTGGCTCTCTGCGGCTCTCGGTGTCTGCCATTTGAGACAATTTGGGCACAGGCAGGGCAGGCCGTCGCGGACGGTCTAAGCCGCGCGCATTGGTGGGGGCAGCAGAGCCCCTGCTCTCAGCTCCTCGGGGTACAGCGGGGGTACCAGGCGGGTGAGTGGGTGGGTGGTCACTGCTCCTGCCAAGGGCAGCCCTGGTTTGGTTTGCACTTGCTGCCCTGGTGACGGCTGCTCTCATTCCTGCCCCATTGCTAACAAGGGTGTCATAAGCTACTTTCCCGGCCCACATCCTATTAAGCCCATGGAGACCCTCCCACAGCTGAGCCTGCTGTGGGCTGCAGGCCCTGGGCGGTGCCCACCTCGGTCCCCACTGGCCTCCTTCCAGCACTTTAGAGCAGACACAGGTTGGAGATAAGGAAAGTTCCAGAGCACAGACTGGAACAAGCCCCAGGCCTCTCCCTGCCCCAGCAGGGCCTCCCTGGATTTGGGGGACAGGTGCCCTCATGGGGGGTCCTGAAGGTCAGAGCTGGGGCTGGGGCTGGGCTGGCGGAGGTGGCCTTGGCGGAGGCCACATTCCAGGGTCTCAGTGAGAGTCTGTGGCAGGCAGCCTTGCAGATGCCGCTGAGGGACCCCCCACTTCATGTTGTGGGTGATGTGGTCCATTGATTGCCTCCAGGTTTAAATCAGGTGGATATTTACCTAGCGGCCTCCTCTCCCTCTGCACAGGGCCTGGAGTGGGATGGACTGGGGTGCTCAGCTGGAGGCTCTGCAGACACAGCCCCCTGGGCTATGCAGGCCCTGCTGGGAGCCACATTGCCATTTTTCATCACCCACTTTTTGGGTGAGAACCCCCTCGAGTCCTAACATCTGCCGCATCTCAGAGCCTGTGGCTCCAGTCAGAGCATCTGGACCATACTGCTGGGGTCAGAGCGCGGCAGGACAATGGCCAGTTTCTGTGTGATTGCTGGCGGGAATCTTGAGCCATTCCGTGGGTCCGTGGGCTGGGATCTGGAAGCTTCCTTGAAATGTCTCTGGGCACGTGGCTCTGTGGGTCAGGGTGGGACATGGCCCCGTAGCAGGCTGTCCTACAGCAAAAGCCTGCTCTGTGAGCCAGCCCTGTGCAGGCCTCCCTCGGTACAGCCGGGAGGGGCCTCACCCTCCACCCACAGAAATCAAGGCTGCAGAAGACAGATGCCTGTGCCAACCCCTCCGGCAGAGTTATGCCAAATGTCCCACTAAATTCACCCCTCTAGGGAGAGGTGCCTCCTGCATCTACTTTTCCTAGAATAAGTATGAGAAACCCCAAATAGGTTCTAGAAAAAACAGCAGTGTACACAGATGTTAATCCTCTTCGAAACTTGACTGAGTCATTTAGCCAAAGAAAACAGCAACAATGGCTTCATTTCGAGAGGGTCACGGACACCCTTTCATGTTTGATTCCTTCTGACCTTGTGAGTTTATAGAAGGACAAGGAGAGAGGGACGCGCTGGGTTTGTTCAGATGTGGACAGAAAGTTTGGATGATAGGACAGAACATTTAGTTCAATCTTTCCACTTACGGCTCTTAAAAGCCCTTTATTTTTATAGGTAACATGCTTTAAACAAACTTTAAAATTTGAGGTTGCTAGTACCCATTGTGTGTGGATTGGACCAGCTCCATGAGAGTGGAGCCCGGGAGCCTCTCTGGTCGTCTTTGTGTGCGTCTGTGCCTGTGCCTGGTAGTAGTTCTGTCTGGAAGGTGAGCAGGGCCACAGAGCACCAAGAAAATACCAGGGACTTTGCAGGTCTCGGGTGGATTCAGGTTGATCCAACAGATGCCGGCCCAGGGCCTGCAAGGAGGCTCCTTTCGCGTGGCTGTCGTGGCCCCTGTGAGCTGGGCTTGTCCTATGAGAAGAGCTCCTGCAAGAACACCTTTTGAAGTCACCCCTGGGGGAGATGAGCTGGATGGCATTTGGAGCCCCCAGCAGCTCACATTCCTGAGCTCTTGGTCCCATGTGGGATTCGATAATTTTCTTTACACTGACAGGCAGCATCTCTTTGGCCAGCCGTGTGACTGTTGGGTCATGTGTCTTCTCTGTGCCTCAGTTTTTCTCCCCTGCAAATGGGTTCACTGAAAGCACTGGCCAGGGGAGGGGCTGTGGCATGGCATGACAGGCTGAGGGGCACTGAGCAGGTGCCAGGAGCCAGGTGGTGTCAGGTGAGCCCCCCAGGAACCCCAGTTTTTGTGCACGGTGGGAAAGAGACCATCAGGGGCGGAGGGGAATGAACACCCACCCTTTGGGGGCTCAGGTGCCAAACAGATGTGTGTGCAGGTGCATGAGCCAGGTGTGTGAGCAGGTGCATGGGCCAGGTGTGTGAGCAGGTGCATGGGCCAGGTGTGTGAGCAGGTGCATGGGCCAGGTGTGTGAGCAGACACTTCCTGTGCAAGCCTGTGCTCCTGTGGCTCATGGGTGCATGATCCAGAAACCCAGAGGCAGTGGCTTCACCGGGGGGTGGTGATATTCAAGCTCTTGCAGGAGGGGGTTGTGGCAGGGCAGGACAGAAGCATCTGACCAGAGGGTGCAGGGCCACAGCATTTCTGCCCTCGGGGACAGGCGGCCCGTGCTGGGACGGGCGCAGGAGCTCCTGAAACCTCTGTTCTCAGTTCAGAAACCAGGTACCTTTCCCATCTGACCCCCCAGGCAGCCATTAACAGGTCCAGGTGAGAGAGTCTGTGCATGAGACCTACTTTCCTTGCTCTCTCCGGGGGGGTTTGCAGCAGTTCTGAGCATCAGGCCAGAGGCTGGGACTCCCTGCCTGAGTCGGGGTGAGGGCTTCCCGTGGCTCTGTGAGCTTCAGAGGCTTGGCATGTACAAGCAGGGCTGTTACAACAGCCTTTAAAAAATCATGGAGAAGAACCCAGTGCATCTTCTCCTCAGAGGGTGGCAGAGGCTGAATGAATTTGCATCTGGACGTTCCACTTCCACCTCCTTCCTAACCAAAGACTGTATATGCAGGTGGTTCGTGGATGTATCTGGGCTGACTGGCAGTGGGGAGATGGGGGCTCCCCCACGTCTTGGCGGGGGTCCCGGTGGGTTGCAGCCCCCAGAGCCGGGCTTCCCGGAAAGGGGCATCGCTTCTCTCTTTTGGGCTGTGCTGGGGTCTCTCTGGTGAGGGGTGACCCAGGGCCTTTGAACAGCCGGTCCTAGACCAGGCCCTGGTTCCTGTGATGCTGACAGGCTGTGGCTTGAGAGCCTGGGTCGGGAAAGCCCAGTCAGAGGGGAAGCCGGGGGCTGGTTCTGACCCTGCATGGTTTCCTGAGGGACGTGCTCAGTGGGATTTGTCCCTGGAGCACCAAGGGCTGAAGGAAAGCCACTGTCCTGCTTTCTCGCAGCCCTGGTCCCCATTCTTCTGTGGGTGCAGGTGGGGATGGTGGGGTGAACCCGCCCTCCTGGGGACAGATATAGGGATGCCGGGATGCCGCACTGCAGGTGTGAGTCCTGGGAAGTGGGTAGGGGGTCGATGGGAGGAAGAGAGGAAGGTGGGGTGGGGGCGGGAGGAGAGAAGAGGAAGAAGGGGGTGGGGGGAGGGAGGAAGGAAGAGGAGGAAGGTGGGGTGGGGGTGGGCGGAGGGAGGAGGAGGAAGTGGGGGCGTCCCCATCAGAGACCTCCTGCAGACCTCCAGCTGTTTGGTCCATGGGTGGGTTGGTTAGGTCTGGGTTCAGAAGCCCCTTCAGTGTAGGTGCTCAGCTGGGCCATGGAGTCCTGGCCTTCCCTCTGAGCACAGACCCACCAGGAATGGGCAGCCCGTTCTTAGTGACCCTGGGGGCTGGGGAGCACCCACCCTCTGAGCCCCAGCTCGGCCTCCATGTGTCAGGTGGGAGGCACGGGCAGGGCCAGGCTGTGGGAGTCCGGGAGGGAGTCAGAGGTTGGCTGGGGCAGAGGTGGGGTCAGGGAGCAGGAAGTGAGCGTTTGCCCACTGGGGTAGACGCTGGGTGGATGGGGAGCTGGGAGTCCTATAGGGTGAAGGGTCTGCCGTGGGCTGAGGCATGTTGGGGCATCCCGAGTACCTATGGGCCCCTTGGACGTCCCCCCGGCGCTCCCTGGCACAGGTCTGCTCGGAGGGTGTCGGCCTCCTCTGCATTCAGGATCGTGGGTCTGTCAATTGGGACACCTATGAACAAATGCTCTTCCCATCAGTAACTCCGTGTGCCCCTCTCTTGAGCCCCTGTGAGATGCACCCTGGGGTCCCAGCCTCACCCACTATCCTTCACAGCAGAGCTGTGGGTCCATGGCCCAGGCAGGGTGGCCAATTCCTGCCCACTGCAGTCGGCAAGGGGGACACTGGGGCCTCAGGCTCATCTTCTGGGTGCGTTTATAAAGCCAGCACAATGTGCAGCGTTTGCAGACAGTATCCTCTGTGAGCAAGAGCATGTTTAAAGGGGGCTCATTTGAAACCCTACCTACAGGGCTGCCATCCCTCTGGTGAATGCCCACGTGGGTGACAGTGATTCTAGCCCTTGATTTCCTTGAGCTGATGGTGGGCCCCTGGGCTGAGGAGACCCTCAGCCAGGAGGTCCCAGGCCCAGGGATGAGTGAGCTGTACAGCAGTGTCACAGCAAAGCAGCCACCCTCACCCGGGGCCCATCCAGCGTGTGCAGTGGGCAGAAGCCTGCGTGAGCTGGGCAGGGACGAGGGACTGTGCCGCCGCCCCATTGTGAATCTGTGTTCATTTTCCTGACTTCCTTCATTTCTTGTGATTTTAAAGCTGGGGAGTGGAGATTCTACTTCCTGCTCTATCTGGAAGGAGAGGGCTTTCGGTTCGGCAAAAAAGTCGTCTTTGTGGGCGCCTGTGCCTCAGGCCACGTGGAGGCCACATGGAACTCCCATTGGGGAGGGGACCATGGGACTGGATGGCGGGAAAGTGCCCCACCCCTGCAGCCCTGGAACTGTGGCTGGGGTGGGGCTGAGGCTGGGGGAGGGGGTCTGGTGGGGAGGGAGCTGAGGCTGCTCAGGGGACTGCTGGTGGGGGGCCCTAGAAGGAGGGAGCCGTGGCTGTGGGGTCCCTGATGGGAGGGAGATGTGGCTTGGCGGGGAAGCTGTGGAGGGAGGGAGCTGTGGCTACTGGGGAGCTGTGGCTGGGGGAGTGCCGTGCCTGGGGGTCTGTGACTGGGGAGTTGCTGGCTGGGGGGCAGCCATGGCTGGGGGAACCCTGGCTAGGGAGGGGCTGGCTAGGGGCGAGCCGGGCTGCGCGGGGCCCTGGCTGGGGAGCAGCTGGCTGTGGCAGGAGCTGTGGCTGGGGCTTCTGCTGTCTGCATCCGTTCCTGTACATAGTGAAGGTGGGTTCTATTGCCAAGGTTCTGCAGGTGAGGGTGTGTGCTGTTCACACCACAGCATCACACAGGCACTCTCCTGCACACACACTCACACACAGACACACAGGCACTCTCCACACACACTCACACTCAGACACAGGCACTCTCCTGCACACACACTCACACAGACACACAGGCACTCTCCTGCACACACACACACAGACACACAGGCACTCTCCTGTACACACACACACTCACACACTCAGACACACAGGCACTCTCCTGCACACACACACACTCACACAGGCACTCTCCTGCACACACACACACTCAGACACACAGGCACTCTCCTGCGCACACACACACACTCAGACACACAGGCACTCTCCTGCACACACACACTCACACTCAGACACACAGGCACTCTCCTGCACACACACACTCACTCACAGACAGACACACAGGCACTCTCCTGCACACACTCACACTCACACACAGGCACTCTCCTGCACACACACACTCAGACACACAGGCACTCTCCTGCACACACACACACACAGACACAGGCACTCTCCTGTACACACACACACTCACACACTCAGACACACAGGCACTCTCCTGCACACACACTCACACAGGCACTCTCCTGCACACACACACACTCAGACACACAGGCACTCTCCTGCACACACACACACACACTCAGACACACAGGCACTCTCCTGCACACACACACTCACACACTCAGACACAGGCACTCTCCTGCACACACACACACTCACTCACACACAGACACACAGGCACTCTCCTGCACACACTCACACTCAGACAAGCACTCTCCTGCACACACTCACACTCACACTCAGACACACAGGCACTCTCCTGCACACACACACTCACTCAGACACAGGCACTCTCCTGCACACACACACACACACTCAGACACACAGGCACTCTCCTGCACACACACACTCACACACTCAGACACACAGGCACTCTCCTGCACACACACACTCACTCACACACAGACACACAGGCACTCTCCTGCACACACTCACACTCACACTCAGACAAGCACTCTCCTGCACACACTCACACTCACACTCAGACACACAGGCACTCTCCTGCACACACACACTCACTCAGACACAGGCACTCTCCTGCATACACACACTCACACTCAGACACACAGGCACTCTCCTGCACACACACACTCACACACTCAGACACACAGGCACTCTCCTGCACACACACACACTCACACTCAGACACACAGGCACTCTCCTGCACACACACACACTCAGACACACAGGCACTCTCCTGCACACACACACACTCACACACTCAGACACACAGGCACTCTCCTGCACACACACACACTCACACACTCAGACCCTCACACTCCAGGGCTGGGCAGGGGACCCCGGACCTGGCCTCTGGAGCTCATCCCTGGGTGCCTGGGCACGGAGTGCCGGTCACACTGTGCACCCATCCTTGTTTTCTCGATGTTGGGTTTACTTTTCCTGCCGGCTGCACGGCCTGCCCTTCTCAGGGCTTTGGGCTACTCTGCAGGGCTGGTGTTCAGGGCAGGAAAGGGAAAGGGGCAGTGGAGAGGGAGTGTGTGCTGTAGAGGCTAAGACCCCATTTGCACTGAGCCCTTCCATGGCTGTTCAACTCTGACGGGAGTCCACTGAGGCTCAGGACGCCTCTGCAGGGTGCCAGGGCCACGCAAGCTCCACAGCACGTGGACAAAGGCGCATCTAATCCTTGCAGGCAGAGTGGCTTATTAGACACGTTAGCAGGTCTGTCTGTGCAGCCGGAAGGAAGAAAGTGAAGTTAGATGCCCACATGTGACTTGGCATCCAGAGGCACATTCCAGATGGCGACCCGGGGCTCCCTGGTGTGGTCTGGGGGCCGGTGGGGGCCGAGGGGCTGCTGTGGGTCTGTGTGGAGATGGATACCGAAAGCCACAGGACGTGCTTAGGGACTTGCATGGCAATTTGGCAGGGCCGTTCCCAGCGCAAAGAAAGGCTGTCGGAGGTGCAGGCCACGCTCATCACCCGCATCTGACCCCACCAGGCATCCCACAAATGTGACCCTTATGTGTCTGTTAAAAACTACACTTAACGTTTTTTAATTCGAGAAAACCTATCTGTTGCTGTTATGTACAGTGCTGTAATCAGCAAACGTGTTCCTTGGTCATTTCCGCAACAGAACACAGTGGGAGGGGCCTGCTCTTCCGCAGCACCCCAGGCAGGCCTGGACCGCCCGAGTGGCCGTGGTCCAGGGGCGCGGAGGGCGCAGCGCGTTCCGTTTCGGCTCCTCTGGTGCGTGCCTCGTGTGCGTGTGAGCAGAGGCCGTGTGGATGCCGGGCGCCCGCCGGTCACGGGCTGGTGGGCAGAGAGGTCATGACCTTTTACTTTCTAGGCCTTTACGTATCGCAACGTGTGCGTTACGTTCATCATAAAAACGTCCGACGAAACCAAGAGCAAAGTGAACTTATTGGTGAAAGTTGCCATTGGGACTTCGGTGCCTGCTGAGAAATGCCTGGGCCTCTGGCTCCCCCTGGCGGCCGGTCCCTGGCTTGACGGAAGCGCGTCGCGCGGGCTCCAGACGTCCTGGGCCAAGTCCTGTGCGCGGGGCCTCCGGGTCTGCGAGCTGCGGCCGTGTTCAGAGCGTGTTTTGCCCGGAGCTGCTGCCAGCCTGGGCGGCTTTGGGCGCGTGCAGCAAGCAGGGTTTGGATTTGGAAGTGCAGCTCGTCCTGGCGCCAAGCACAGAGCCTGGCCTCTAAGATGCTCGGGAAATGCCGCTCTCTGCGCCCCTGAGTGCTCAGTGCGAGCCTGTGAAGTCCATTACAGTCTCCGGCTGTGAATGTAGCAAGGAGTGGGAACTAGGCCTGGGAGATGGGAGTGTTTGTCTGATGACTTCCTGAGCGAAAGCAAACTGGGAAATCTCGGGCTGCGCGCTGGTGCCCCGACTCCGCACCTCCCACCCCTTCTGTGGGGCCAGCACCCAGAAAGCGCCAGCGGAGGCTGGCAGGCCGTGGGCCGCATGGGCGGAGGGGCCGGTCCTCCGATGATGGGGCAAACGTCTCCGGCCTAGCCCCCGACGCTCGGGGATGTAAGGGCAAGGGCTGCGGGGTCGGAACGTCGGCTGTGGCTGTGGCTGTGTGACTGCTCCGCACCAGCTCAGCTTCCTCACCTGTGCACACAGGCTCCCGCTGGAATTTGCTGCGTTCTCCAAGCTCTGCAAGATTCAGAAGCAGAGGCCTCCCTGGGCTCTCACAGCCCCTTAGCTTCTTGCCCACCCACGGAGAGGGTCCAGAGCTGCCCCTTGCTGTCTGTGAGGAAAGCGGGTGCTTCAGGCCTGCCAGGGGTCCACTGGGAGTTGCTGGGTGGGCTCCTCAGGCCCTGCCCAGGGCTGACCCCTGGCTCCAGGTCCTGGGCCTCCGTGCCATGTTCCCCGCAAGCAGTCGGGGCCTGCTGGGGTTTGAGCCACGTTCCCCGGAAGCAGTCGGGGCCTGCTGGGGTTTGAGCCACGTTCCCCGGAAGCAGTCGGGGCCTGCTGGGGTTTGAGCCACGTTCCCCGGAAGCAGTCGGGGCCTGCTGGGGTTTGAGCCACGTTCCCCGGAAGCAGCTGGGGCCTGCTGGGGTTTGAGCCACGTTCCCCGGAAGCAGTCGGGGCCTGCTGGGGTTTGAACCACGTTCCCCGGAAGCAGTCAGGGCCTGCGGGGGTTTATGTCACACCCTGGCTGCACGTGGGGATCGTGTCTAAGCTTTTTGGAAATGTCGATGCCGGACTCCGCCCCAGACCTGGAGCTAGGAACTGGCCCCTGGCCATGGGCCCAGGCAGGGTGAGGTTTCCCAGCACCCTGGGTGATCTGAACTTGGGAGCAGGGCTGGAACCTGGGGGCAAGATCAGCACTTCTAGGACGTTATCGTGCGTGGGAACCACGGGACGCTCACTCATAGGAGGCTCAGCAGTTCTCTCGCTGTGCCGAGGCTGATGGAGACCTCACTGCTTGCCCCCGGGATGCAAACCCCGGGGACACCCGCCTTTCCGCTCCAAGCTCTGCCCACCGCCTCACATGGCCCTGGGAATTACAACAGACTTTCCCATCTCCCCACTATGGGCGGAATCTGCTGCAGCTGCCCAGACCTGGGGTCTTGCAGGTTCTGGACACCACAGCTCCCCTACACACAGAGGCTGCTCCTGCGTGGCCCTGGTCCCTCACCTCTACTTCTGGCACACGCTCCTCCACCTGCTGCCCTTCAGGGTTCATCGAGGTCTTATTTTGGTTCTGTACTGGGAGAGGGGGAAGCAATGGGGCAAGACGCTGCCCCTACTGTCCCCAGAAGATGAGGGACAGCACAGATGCCCAGGTAGAGTTTTCCTGTGTTAAATCATAAAACCCCCACATGCCCATCCCAGGTGCCCCACCTGCCCCAGCAGCTGCCTCCAGGCCTCGGGACGCTTGAACCCACCTCGAGGGCTGCCAGCTCCTGGCCTGGAGGTGCCCCCACCGGGTCCTCCAGTCCTGCTGCCCGGTGGCTCTGGCCATGGTTCCCGTCCCGGGCTGTTCATGTTCCCCCTGCTCCTCTCCGTGATCTGCCATCTCTGCTTCACCAGCCGGCGCCTTCTACAGAACACGGCCGTGAGCTTCCCATGTTCTGCCGCTGGCTCTTCACGCCAACAGGTCTCCTCTGAGCAGGGCCAGCTTATGGCATGGCGCCGGGTCAGCTCTCACCTGTCCCCCTCAGACGCCCACCTCTGATATGCAACTATTTCCAGCAGAAAATGTCCCATGTCCTTAAAGGATGGAGCACGCTGCTGGGAACACGGCTCTCTCCATAAAGGAGGGACTCCCCATGCCACTCCCAAGGCCACGGGAGGCCGCCCTCAGCACAGGGTCCATGGGGTCTCGGGGTCTCCCTGCCAAAGCACAGGCCTGGTGACCCCCTGGGACCCTCACTCCAGGGAGAGGACTGTGCATCTTGTGTGCTTCTCACAGTCACTGTGTGGGGTTCAGCCCAGGGGAGGTCACCTCGCCCTCATCCACGCAGTCCTGCGGGGAGGCCCATTTGCCCTGACTGCACAGTCCTGCAGCTCGGCTGTGCCCTTGAGTGGGTGGCGCTGCCCTGTTGCCCACCGTAGCTGCTGTGGGGCCACAGCCTTGAGCCTGGACACTGGCCATGACTGGATACCACCGGTGCACAGGGTGCACGTGAGGAAACCCTGCCCGTTCTGTGCCCGTGCCTTGCTTTTTCTCCTTTAAATCCCACCTGTGAGTTTTATTTTTGTAACTGCAGAGCATGATGAAAACCGTGAAGCCACAGAGGCACACGTCGTGTCTGTGGGGAGGGCCCCTCACTCTCTGGCTGCACATCACCCATGTGTCTCACTCACCATGGGTGTCCCTGCCCCTGAGCCCACCCTCACCTCTGTCAGCTGGGCAGGCGCTGCCCTGTCAGCCTCTGCCTCCACTTCCTCCACTCCTGGACATCGTAGTCTCTGTCGCCGGGTAGTAGCAGGGCCGGACCCCTTCGGATGAGCACGCCCAGGCCCAAGAGTGGCAGTCCTGGTGTGGGCGGTGGTGCTGGTGTGGGCGGCGGTCCTGGTGTGGGCAGCGGGGCTGGTGTGGGCAGCGGTGCTGGTGTGGGCGGCGGTCCTGGTGTGGGCGGTGGTGGTGCTGGTGTGGGCGGAGGTCCTGGTGTGGGCGGCGGTCCTGGTGTGGGCAGCGGGGCTGGTGTGGGCAGCGGTGCTGGTGTGGGCGGCGGTCCTGGTGTGGGCGGTGGTGGTGCTGGTGTGGGCGGAGGTCCTGGTGTGGGCGGCGGTCCTGGTGTGGGCGGAGGTCCTGGTGTGGGCGGTGGTGGTGCTGGTGTGGGCAGCGGTGCTGATGTGGGTGGTGGTGCTGGTGTGGGCGGTGGTGGTGCTGGTGTGGGCAGCGGTGCTGATGTGGGTGGTGGTGCTGGTGTGGGTGGCGGTGCTGGTGTGGGCGGCGGTGCTGATGTGGGTGGTGGTGGTGCTGATGTGGGCGGCGGTGCTGGTGTGGGCGGTGGTGGTGCTGGTGTGGGTGGTGGTGGTGCTGATGTGGGCGGCGGTGCTGGTGTGGGCGGCGGTGCTGGTGTGGGCGGCGGTGCTGGTGTGGGCGGCGGTGCTGGTGTGGGTGGATTCCTGGAGGACAGCTGGGTCTTGCATCCAGCACAGGTCCTGGTGCCTGGGAGGTGCTTACCCCATGGCCCCAACCGGCACAAGTGTGGCTGTCACAGCTGGGGTCTGGGTAGGTCTGGCAGCCCCATGGGAACCTGGCTGTGTGAGCCTGCCCTGGGGCCTTCCATGAGAAAACCCAGTTAAGGAGCAACCTGGTAAACCCTTGAAAACCAAGTGGGCCTTCACCAGCTTGAAAGGCCGCCCGTGCCTTTCCTCCTTGGCCCTCACAGCCCAGCTCGGCATCGCAGCAGAGTCCCGGTGGTGGAGATGCTTTGCCACTGGCCACCCAGAGCTAGGAGCCTCGGCCAAGGGCTCCCTCCTTGCACTGTGGTCTCTCGGGACCTAGGAGGTCCCGGGG
Source organism: Homo sapiens (assembly GCF_000001405.40). Lineage (NCBI taxonomy): Eukaryota > Metazoa > Chordata > Mammalia > Primates > Hominidae > Homo > Homo sapiens. The sequence goes on from NW_025791815.1 coordinate 60,807, forward strand.
TGTGGACTGTGCTGAACTGTTCTCCGACAGGCGGCCCTTTTTCTCCCACGTGGGCGAAAAGTGAAGCCTCTGGGTGGTCCTGTACCTGTCTGTCACATCCCGGGCTGCAGCCGGGTCCCCAGGGAGGCCTCCGTGAAAACACAAATCAAGTGCCAATTTCCTGGTGAAGAGTCTTTATGAGAGCAATGCGGCCCCGTGCCCCTTTACGCGGCTCTGCTGGTGGAGAGGAATAGCTGAGCTGCAGCACTAAGGAGAGATGCCTGCTGCATGATCCCCTAGATGCGTCCGAGGGACACTGGACATCTGGTGGCCCTCCAGACTCCTAGGAAGGGGACCGTCCTCCCAGTGGCAGCCAGGACTGCCTGTCCTCTTTTGGGTGGCCAGGATGTCACAGGGCGAGTAGGTGTCTGGCCCTACCACTGGGGGGCCATGTTGCCACGCAAGAATTCAGTGTCCCTCTGTGGGGAACGTGCTTCCCGGCTGCCACGCTGTCGCTCTCTCTTGTCTTCTGTTCGGCCCCTTCCCCGTTGCACATCCTGGCCTGGCGTGGTCGTCCCGTGGCGTCCTCTACCCTTTCCCATGTGACACATTCGCTCCATGGTACCTCCTGCCTCCCGAAATCACCTCTAAGTTCACTTTGTGCCAGGTTTTGTTCTCCAGCGCATCTTCAGTGCTGCGAGCAGGCTGGGCTTGCAGCAGGAGCACGGGTGTGCGTGTGGAGTGAATGAAGGGCCGTGTGCCCGAGTAGGTGGCGTGCAGGGGTGTAGTGAGGTGCGTGCAGGGGTGTAGTGAGGTGTGGGATGTGCAGAGTGAATGAAGGACGTTGTGCTCGTGTGGGTGATGTGCGGGGTTGTGGTGAGGCGTAGGGCTGGGGTCAGCTGGTCGTCCGGACTTTTGGTTTTCTGGCTGTAAAATGCACATGCCAGGATAGTTGTGAGGTGCACGCTCACTCGTGCATGGAGGGTGGTTCCACAGTGCTGTGGACAGAGGAGCCCTCGATAAATGCCAGCTGCGAGCACCGGGGGCCAGCACGAGAGCAGCTCTGAGAGCCTGGGTCGTGCAGGGCGAGAGAGGCTCCGGGGAGTGGAGGCTGTGAGCCAGGGAGGAAACACTACTCCACGTGTTAGGAGGAAGCCACGTGCTCCTCGAACATGCTGGTACTAGGTTTGAAAACCAACATTAGCAGCAAAGATGACTCCGTGTCCATACCCTAGTTTTTAAAAGTTGATATAGCCCCTCTAAAAATGAGTTTGAAAGCACAGGAATTTATAAGAGAAAAACTTTCATCAAATACATGAAAAAAATCAATCTCACTCAAAATGGAATTAATAAGAAATCAAGCAGCATTAAGGATTGCGTGGTTTGGAAAATGTGATGTGGGTCTCCCTTGATTGTTTTGAATGGCTTTATTGAGATGTAATTCACATTCCGTGCAATTCACTCGAAGTGTACAATCCAGTGGTTTTCAGTATATTCAAAAATCTATGCCACCATCATCCCCATCGACCGTGGAACATTTCATCACTCCAGAGAGAAGCCTTTCCGCCGCCCTCCCTCCCTCCAGTCCTGGCCACCGGTCATCTCCTTTCTGTCCCTGGGTTCCGTCTTCTGAGCTTCCATACGAATTAAACCATGGAACGTGTGGTCGTTTCTGTCTGGCTTCTTCCCCTCGGCCTGTGGTTTCCGGGTTCGTCCGTGTTGCACCCTGTCCCAGGGCTTCATTCCTTGCTGTCACTGAATAATGTCCCACCAGGTGGAGGCACCATGCTGTGCTTATGGATTCAGCATTTGGTGGACTTCTGAGCGGTGTCCACCTTTTAGCTGTGATGAACGGTGCTGTTGTGAACACTTGTGTACAAGTTTCAGTGTGGACGTGTGTCTTCGTTTCTCTCGGGTATATACCTAAGGTGGAATCACTGGGACTATGGTAACTGTGTTTACTCATTTGAGCAGCCGCCAGCCTGCTTTCCCAAGTGTCTGCACCATCTCACGTCCCTTCCTGCAGCCTTGGGAGTTCTGATTTCGCCACATCTTTGCCATCACTTGTTTTTCTCTGACTTTTTGTTTCCAGCCCATGTTGGGTGTAAAGCAGTGTCTTGTGGTTTTCATTTGCATTTTCATGATGACTGATAATGTTGAACATCTTTTTTTGTCTTTCTTGGCGATCTGTATTTCTTCTTTGGAGAAATGTCTATTCCGATTCTTGCCCACTTTTAGTTGGATTATTGTCTTTTTGTTGTTGATTTATGAGTTCTTTACATCATCTAGATAGAAGTGCTTCCTCACATATATGATTCGCAAATATCTTCTCCCATTCTGTGAGATGTCATTTCACTTTCTTGATGGTGTCCTTTGAGGCACAAAACTTTTAAGTTTTTACGAAGTCCAATTTATTTTTCTTTTGTCACTTGGGCTTTTGCTGTCATATGTAAGAATCTTTTGCCAAATCCAAGGTTATGAAAAAGAAAACCTTCAAAAGTTTTTTTATTTTAGCTCTTTTATTTAAGAGCTAAAATAAAAATTTTAATAGCTGCATGTGGTGTGAAGTAGGGATCCAGCTTCGCCCTTTTGCGTGTATCTGTTCGTTGGCCCAGCACCGTTTGTTGAAGGCTGCTCTTTCCTCACTGAACAGTCTCGACATTCTTGTCAAACATGAGTTGCCCGTAGGTTATGAGTTTATTCCAGAACCCTCAGTTCCACTGCACCGATGCGTGTGTCTGTCCTTGCGCCACTCCCACACTGTCCTGTTACCATCGCATTGTAAGTCTTAAAACTGGGAATGTAAGTCCTTTGACTTTTTTCTAATCCAATACTATGAACAAAATAGATGGCAGATGAAATTGAAAATTTCCTAGAAAGGTGCAAACTACTCAAACTGATTCAACAAGAAATAGACAATGTGAATAGATATATAACAAGTGAAGAGGTTGAATTAGTAATCCAAAAACACCCATAAAGAAAAGCCAAGGACCAGAGAGCTTCCCAGCTAAATTCTACCAAGCATTTAAAGAATTAAAACCAATTCTCACAAACTCTTTCAAAAGACTAGGAGAGTGGGAAATGCTTCTCAATTCATTTTATGAGACCAATATTACTCTGATACCATAATCAGACAAAGACATTGCCAAAAAAAGAAAATTGCAGACTAGTTTATCTTACGAATTATGGACACAGAAATCCTTGGTAGACTACTAGTAAATAAAATCCAGCAACATATAAAAAAAATTCACCATGGCTAAGTGGGATTTATCCCAGGAATTCAAGGTTGGTTTAACACTTGAAAATCAATGTAATACATCATATCAATAGAATAAAATATTAAAAACACCCAATCATCTCAATAGATGCAGAGAAAGTATTGGACAAAATTCAACACCATTCATGAAAAACACTTAACAAGCTGGTAAAGAGCATCTGTGACAGAGCCCACAGCTGACACCGTGCTTGTGGTGGAGGAGCGAATGCTTTCCTCCTAAGATCAGGAGCAAGACAAGGACGTTCCCTATTGCGCCTTCTGTTTAACATTGTACTGGAGGTTCTAGCCACGAAAGTTAGGCAAGAAGAAATAAAAGACATCCAGATTGGAAAGGAACAAGTAAAACTGTATTTTTAGAGGCCAGATCTTATATATATATATATCATATATCATATATATCATATATCATATGTATATTTAAAAGTAAAAGTTCTAACCTCTAAAAAGTTTTTTATTGTTCCTCTAAAATTACAGTTTTTTCTAAGTAATCCACAAAAAAACTATTAGAACCAATAAATGAGCTCAACAAGGTTGCAGGGTATAAAATCAGTATAGAAAAATCTATTGTATTTATTTTGCAATGAACAATCCAAAAATGAAATTAAGAAAGAAAAATCTGTTTACAACAGCATCAACAAGAACTTATACTCTGAAAACTACAAAGCAACATTGAAAGTAATTAAGGAAGATCTAAATAAATGGAAAGTTATCCCATGTTTATGGATTGGAAGACAGAATACTCCCTAAATCAACTAGAGTCCACACAACTCCTGCCAGAATCCCCACTGGCTATAGAAATTGTCAAAGTGACCCCAATACTTAAATTGAATTTCAAGGAACCCAGAATGGCCAAAGCAATCCTGGAGAAGAACAAAATCGGGGGACCTCTTGGCTCTCGAACTTCTTAGAGTCTTTGAAAATATCTGCTTTGTTTTGGGTAGAGCATGGATGGTTCCCTTAGAGCCTATAGAGCACATTGAGGTCTTTTGGTTCGCCCTCAGTGAACTTTATCACATCAAGCAGGAGATGTCGGTGAGCCTCGCTGCCCTGCTGTGCTCCACCCATTGGCCCCCCTTGCAGCAGCATTCAGGAGAAGACAGAGGCAGCGTCTTCTGCCAGCCTCCTCGGACTGGAAGGAGTAACAAGGCTTTGAAGGCATGCAGGAATAACACCCACACAGAGCCCCAGGGGACATGGATCGAGGTCTGAAAAGCATTTCTTCCCACCCTCTGCTGAGTCACCTGGACTGCCAGAGGTAGAGCTGGCATAGGGAGTTTGCCAGAAGACATCAGGAAGAAACCTCTATTTTCTCTACAAACATCCTTTGAGAACATTTCAAACCTGCATTGACGTTGATACGATGATCAGAAAACGCTCATACACACCTTCCATTCGACTCACAAGCAAACACTTGCCACATTTTTCCCAGGCACTCCCTTTCTCTCCATCTGTGTCCATATCCACACACACGCATATCCACATGCACAGGTATCCATGCGTGTGCACACAAGAATATCTACATGCACCTCCACATGCGTACATATCCGCACACATCCGTGATGCATATCCATGTGTGCACATGTACATACCCATGCACACATTCACACATGCTCATCTGTATGCACACATAATCCACATGCAGTCCACACACACAGATATCCATGCATGCATGTATCCATATCCACACATCCGTGTACACGCGCACACGTGTGCTTCTGCATACCCACATGCAAGTACAGACGCTCGCTGAGGTGAGCCGCAGCATCTCCACACATTGCCCTGTAGATGCACTTCTGTGTGCGTGTCCCAAGAACAAGGACATTCTCCCACAGAGCCACAGTGTCATTGTCACGCCTGAGAAGTTTACAATCATTCTGTCCGTCCTCCTGTGAACAGGTCGTCTTCAGATGCGCTCCATAATGTCCTTTGCCCCACTGGCCTGCGTATCTTTTGGGCAGTCCCAGAGCCGTCAGGGACCACGTGTTGCATTAGTGTCCTGCTCTGTAGTCTGTTGACTCTGGAGCAGCCCTGCCCGCCCCCGCTGCCCCACCGCCTTCTTCCTAACGTGGCAGTCCAGCTGGGTTTCTATGGGGGTGTCTGACCCGCAGCCTGGACTCACCCACCTGCCTGCTCGTGTTTAGGTGCAGGCTTTGTGGAGAGCCATGGCAGGGGACTGTGTGTCCTCCCCGTGGCCTCCTGTCAGGGGCAGAGGTGGCAGCTGTCCCTGGGAAGATGTCTAAAGTGTCTTTTCCCTGCGGCGCTTTGATCCTCTTGCTGCTCCTGCCTCAGGCCCCGCTGCCCGGCTCATGACCCTTCACCAGTGATCCATCTCCTGTGTCTCTGGCGGCCTTCCCAAGGGTGGGCCCTGGGGCTGCGGTGGAGGTTGCACCAAGCCCGAGGGGAGGGCCTGGCTCACATGGGCTTCCAGCTGCCGCCGGCCAGGTGCGGGGAGAAGAGGCAGGCTGCCCGCTGAGCGCCAGGCTGTGCTTGGCATTAATTTAGGAGCCAAGAAGGCTCCCACCACTCGTGATCACCCAGTGGAGGATTGGGGTTGAAGACCTCAGGCTCCCCACCTCATAGTCCCCAGGCTCTGCCGAGCGGTCAGAGGGACACCAGAGCCTGGGGAGGGACACGGCTGAGTCCAGGAATGTACATCCAGGGAAGAGCTAAGAGAAGCCTCGTCGTGGAATCGGGGGACAGAAGCCTCCACCCTGCCCCCACCGTGGGGGAGAGAATGGGCTTATGGGGCACCCTGAGCACTGAGCAGCGGGGGAAAGAGGCTGTAAGCTGGGGGTGGGTGTTAGACAGGGTGTGGCCACACTCCCTCTGCTACCGTAGGTCTTCAGGTCCATGTGTTTGGTGACAGGGGAGTGCCCTCCAGGGACCTGGACCCAGGCCTGGCCACCCGGCCCTCTCACTGTGCGGCCACCTCCAGCCACTGAATCTGCAGGTGGCGGCAGCTGGTCATGCCGCTGGCCGGGTTGTGCCCGGTGGCCAGGTCTGGTGAGAGGTCCCGGCCAAGCAGCAGAGATGTCAGGGGGCACTCTGGAAGTGCCATGATAAAGCTGCCTTTATCATCGTGGTTTGAAAAAGTAGCCACAAAATGCAGAGCCCAGGAAGCACGTTCAGAGACTTCAGACAATCATAAACTAGTTGCGCCACAGAAAGATGAAAAGTCATGTTTTCATTTCAAAAGGGCTGGAGACGTGTCTGCGGCATCCAAACCTTGACTGGCTGTGCCTGCCTGGGGGCGTGCCCATGGGCAGTGGGTACTGGGACCTCAGGGCCCAGGTTTCGCTCCCTGGAATCTCCAGGAGCCTGCCTGGGCCTGTCCTTGGACAGTCTCTGGTCCCTGGGGAAGGAGGGGAGGGAGGCCACACCTGAGGGGTCTCTGCAGGACATTCTGGGCTCGGGCGAGCATCTGGGGGCAAGGACAAGCTCAGGGAATGAAGAGGGTGGCTCAGGTGGGGTCTGCCCTGCTCCCTCATCCCTGTCATCCTCCCCCAGCCTTCAGGGTCGAGGTGTGGGAGACCCGCGGAGAGGCAGCCCAGAGCCACCCGCCACGGGCTGAGGCCTAGGGTGGCCAGAAGCAGGAGGGACGCCTCTGACGATTGAACAGCCCGGAGCCTCAAAGCTACGGTTGGGGCCTTCAGCCCGGAAATGAGCCCCCCTCTTTGCCCCCTGATGAACCAGTTTCCCCTGTTCACGTGTGGATGTTTGTACCTTTTTAAAAAAAGAAAATAAAAGACCACACTATTTAGGAATTTAAACCAGACAGGCCAACAAGACAGGACAAACCCTGGCTCGGGGCAGGGCGGAGACAGTGGGAGGGTGGAACCTTCCCGAAGACCAGATGGGGTGCAGGGAGTGGGGAGGCTCAGTTCTTGGCACCTGTGTTCATGGTGGGTGGTCTCCCTCGTCCTCTGAAACTGCAGCCAGTGCATGTGACCTCCCCACCGCATCTCAGGCCTCCCTCCCGGTGTGCCCACCCTGCACCCCACAGCCAGCTGCTTCAACGTTTGGAGCCCGTGGCTGGCGTGGCAGTGGTGAGCCCTCGATGGCTGTGCGGACACCAGAGGCTGAGGGAGGACACACACTCCATGGTGGGACAGCACCCCCGGGTCCACCAAGGCCAGGTGGACGCTTAGGCTCCAGGGCCCTCGTGGCTGCTCCGGCGGTGCCATCACCTCTGGAGACAGGGCCCGACTCTGCAGGACGGCACCAGTGGGGGACAGCAGGTCCTCTGGGGGGTGTGAGGTTCTGAGCTGTTAGCCTCAGGCTCCTCAGGAGCGGGCAGGTCATGATAACAAGAGTGGCTGCGTGCGGGTAGCCCATGGCTACAGCTTCCAACGGGCATTTCTAGTGCCCTGGCCAGATGGCCGGCCAGCGGGGGCCATGGTACCACAGCACTGTAGCCTAGCAACAGAGGAGACCCATTTTCTCATCAGGGATAGAGCAGGGAGTCAACCCAAGGTCAAACTCCACACGCACTGGGACAGGCTGTGATGATGTGCAACCCAGCAGCTGGGTCAGCTTGGCTTCCAGGAAGGGAGCCCCTTGGCCCTCCTGTTGTCATAACTGAGAGCCAGAGAAAGGGGCCCCACAGGCTCTGGGGCCCTGGGGACACAGCTGGGTGGCTGTGTTGTGGGGTGCCGCCTTTCCGGGATCCCACGGGGTTGGCGAGCCATGCTCTTCCCCAGCTCCTCGCTGGCCTTCACAGGGATGATGCACTTGTCTGCGTGGGGTTTGCTGAGGGAGTTTGTGGTTAACGTTGCCTTTGTTGAGTCGAATGAGGACGCCACGTTCTGCACTCAGCAGCAGGAGCGCTCAGAGGGGAAGGCGGTGGGATTTGAAGGCTGCTTCCTCTATGAAGTCAGACTGGGAAGGTCGATCTCAGGCCTCAAGGCAATAGGGTGGGGGCACTTCAGACTGGGGCACTCTCCTGTGTCACCCAGGTCCTGCGCACCCCCAGGGAGGGGTCTCACCTGTCCTGTCAACTCTGCTCCATCGGGATCCATGGGCCCTCTTCCTCCTTGGCTGGGGTCATCTCCAGTGAGCTCCATCATGGGCCTCCCAGCCGCCCCATCAGAGCCAAGTGGTTCCTGCCTTCCTGCAGACCCCAAGGTCCCTCATGACGACACGTGTGTCCTCTGTCTCTGGCAGGCCTGAGGCCGCACTCACCCCAGGAGGCACCGAGGAGCCGCAGGGAAACTGCCAACTGCTGCTCCTTGTGCCTCAGCTTCTCTGCTCCCTCCACCAAGGGGAAGAGGCCATGCCGAAACCCTGGTCCGCACTGCTCATGGTGCCATCTGGGCACCCAGATCCTGGAACGAGCCACAGTCGGGCCCTTTACACAGAGCTGGGCAGGGGCTGGGAAGGAGGCCTGGATCCCTGGCCATGCTGCTAGCAGGACTTGGGCAACACCAGGGTGCTTTCTGAGAGTGCAAGTACATGGTGAGTGTGCTTGCCTGTGTGCGTGTGTGTGTGAGCATGCATGGCAGAGCTGAGCATGCATATGCACTCTGTGACATGTGTAAGCATGTATGTGAGCTTGTGTATGCATGTATTCATGTGTGACGTGTGTGTATATATGTGAGCTTGTGTATGCATGTGAGTACTCACGTGTGACATGTGAGCATATATGTACGTGTGTGTTTCTGTATGCATGTGTGTATTCACGTGACGTGTGAGCATGCATGTACATATGTGATTGTGTATGCATGTGAGCATTCATGTGACACATGTAAGCATGTATGTACATGTGGGGGCTTGTGTATGCATGTGAGCATTTGTATCTGACATGTAAGCATGTGTGTGTGAGCTTGTGTATGCATGTATTCATGTGTGACATGTGTGAGCATGTATGTGAGTTTGTGTATGCATGAATATTCACATGTGACGTGTGAGCATATATGTACGTGTGATTGTGTATGCATGTGAGTATTCACTGACGTGTGAGCATGCATGTACATATGTGATTGTGTATGCATGTGAGCATGTATGACATGTGTAAACATGTATGTATGTGTGGGGCTTGTGTATGCATGTGAGTATTCACATGTGACATGTGAGCATGTATGTACATGTGTGTGAGTATTCACATGTGACATGTGAGCATGTATGTACATGTGTGACCTTGTGTATGCATGAGTATTCACATGTGACATGTGAGCCTATATGTATGTGTGTGATTGCGAGTATTCATGTGTGACATGTAAGCATGTATGTACATGTGTGAGCTTGTGTATGCATGTGAGCATTCATGTATGACATGTAAGCATTATGTATGTGTGTGGGCTTGTGTATGCGAGTATTCACATGTGACATGTGTGAGCATGTATGTGTGTGTGATTGTGTATGCATGTATTCATGTGTGACATGTGAGCATGTATGTACATGTGTGTGCTTGTGTATGCATATGAGCATTCATGTCTGGCACGTACGCTTATATGTACATGTGTGGGGGCTTGTGTATGTGAGTATTCACATGTGACATATATGGCATAGCTAAGCATGCATGTGCATGTGTTCATGCATGAGCAGGAGTGAGCATACATATATGTGTGCATATGTGGGTGTTCGTGTGTGAGCATGTGCGTACACATGCGTGCGTTTGAGTGATGATGTGAGGAGGCTTATGTAGTAGCCACCCTTGCCAGGTGCTTCCTGGTGGGAACCAGATCCCGGGGGCTGAGCTGTGGAGCCGTGGCAGAGCCGCACTAGGATTTCCAGGAGGTTAAACGTGCGATGCTGTGGAGGTGCTTGGAGGTGAGGGAACCCCAATGGTGGACAGGAAGCTCTCAAAGCACTTAGAGGTGGAGGAGTCCTGGACAGTGGGCAGGAAGGGTGGGGTCAGGAATGGAGTGGGCAGGGGAAGGGTGGAGGGAGCTGGGCACCCTGCAGATGGCAGGGTGGGTGCTCAGTGCCATGGGGCTGCCACCATCCTCCAAGTGTGGCCCCGAGGGCCGGAGCTGCTCTCCCTCCATTGCTAGGCGTAATCAGTTCCTTGTGCCTGGCTCTGCCCAGGAGGTGTATATTGGGGGGCATGAATGTAGGGCCAGCCCAGCTGGCCAGTGACCCTCTGAGCACAGAGCCTTCGGGATGGGGCTGGGGGTGTCCCCCACAACAGAGTTCCCTTCCTGAGATGCGCTGGTGGAGGAGGGGGCAGTCTCTGGAATTTCTGTTTGGAGACTTTCCGGAGGCGTGTTCAGACATAAAATCACAGCAGCAGCAGTCAGTTTTCAAGCAAAGAGACTTCTCTGGGCATCTCTGAGACGAGTTTGAGCAGTGTGGGGATTCGTTTTGGGAGCACGGCCTCACTGACATGCAGATGTTTGCTTGTGGAATGCCTGCGCCTGCCCTCGAGAAGGAGGTGGCACTCAGCTGCTTGAAACAAGGCTGGGTCCCAAGCAGCCCAGCCCTGCCCTGTGGACAGCAATCGACCGATGGCTACAGCATGTCCTGACCTGGGGACAGCTGGGGACAGGTTGTGGGGCTGTTTCGTCACAGCTGCTGTCACATTAACTGACCCCAGCCCTGGGGGAGGGTGGCTGCAACCCCAGCCGCACAGCCTGGAGGAGGCAGGGTGACGAGGGACTCCAGCTGGGGGAGCTGGCGTGCAGAGCACTGAGGGGGTGGGTGGATTGTGGGGTGAAACCTGGGTGTGTGCGTGTGAGGATGCACATGTGTGAACGTGTGTGTGAGTGAGCACGCCTGTGTAAACTGCCTGGCTCCACCTCTGATGGGCTCCGTGATCTTGAGCGGGGTCACCAGGCTCATGCCTCAGTTTTCTTCATCTGTGAAATGGGCCGATGGCCAGGCTGCACACAGGTCCTCAGAGGGCATAAGGCACACTCAGCACCCACTGCTGTGCCTGGGCAGCTGGCGGGGGGGCACAGCAGCCACTCACATGCCACTCACATCCCTGTGGGTTACCGGCTGCCTGGAATGTTCCAGTCTAACCGGATCCTTTTGTGGACGGGGAGACTGAGGCCGGGAAGGAGTATGCATTCCTGCCCTGGTCCCGGGCTCCGTCTCTGCTGGGTCTCCTGGGCAGAAGGTCAGGAAGGGCTGAGAGGGACACAGTCCAAGGCAGGTAAAGCCCCAGCTTTGAGGGGAGGCACAGCAGCTCTGAGAGGGTCTGAGCCCCTCGAGACCCTCCCCGGGATGTTTAACGACTTGGGCAGCCATTGCAACAGTGGAATTGGCACTGCAGCAAGCTGAGCATTTTTTCGGTTCCAAGTTTCCCACAACACAATGGCTCCAGGCCAGGCGCCTCTGGGCGTTCCAGGTCAGAGGGGGAGCAGGGGCTGGGGGCCGCTGCCTCAGTGCTTCTGGGATGGGGTCCTGGCTTGGAGCCCCAATCCAGAGACTCAGCAGCCCTGCCCCGGCAGAGCCTAGCGGAGCACGTTGGGAACCCTGTGGACACTGCACACAGCACCCTCTGTCCTCACGGAGCCTGGGGCTGCTGCAGGGCCGTGGGAAAGAAGTTATAAATCCTTGGGTGCTGGAACCCCCGGGTGCTGGGCACCTTGATTCCAAGGCTGGTGCCTTCTTTCCTTCTGCAAGAGTGGGGGGTGGAAGACAGCCGGCCAGAGGCTGGGAAGCCTGCACAGGGGAGGGCAGGAGGGCGTGAGCCTGGCTAGCCCCACCTCCAGGCACAGAGGCCCTCCCGCCGCCCGCAGCTCCAGCCGCACTGCCCCGATGGCTCCCTACCCCTGTGGCTGCCACATCCTGCTGCTGCTCTTCTGCTGCCTGGCGGCTGCCCGGGCCAACCTGCTGAACCTGAACTGGCTTTGGTTCAATAATGAGGACACCAGCCATGCAGCTACCACGATCCCTGAGCCCCAGGGGCCCCTGCCTGTGCAGCCCACAGCAGATACCACCACACACGTGACCCCCCGGAATGGTTCCACAGAGCCAGCGACAGCCCCTGGCAGCCCTGAGCCACCCTCAGAGCTGCTGGAAGATGGCCAGGACACCCCCACTTCTGCCGAGAGCCCGGACGCGCCAGAGGAGAACATTGCCGGTGTCGGAGCCGAGATCCTGAACGTGGCCAAAGGCATCCGGAGCTTCGTCCAGCTGTGGAATGACACTGTCCCCACTGAGAGCTTGGCCAGGGCGGAAACCCTGGTCCTGGAGACTCCTGTGGGCCCCCTTGCCCTCGCTGGGCCTTCCAGCACCCCCCAGGAGAATGGGACCACTCTCTGGCCCAGCCGTGGCATTCCTAGCTCTCCGGGCGCCCACACAACCGAGGCTGGCACCTTGCCTGCACCCACCCCATCGCCTCCCTCCCTGGGCAGGCCCTGGGCACCACTCACGGGGCCCTCAGTGCCACCACCATCTTCAGGTAGAGCTTCTCTCTCCTCCTTGCTGGGCGGGGCCCCTCCCTGGGGAAGCCTGCAGGACCCAGACAGCCAAGGACTCTCGCCCGCCGCAGCCGCTCCCAGCCAGCAGCTCCAACGCCCTGACGTCCGCCTGCGCACGCCACTTCTGCACCCCCTGGTGATGGGCTCCCTGGGCAAGCACGCGGCCCCCTCCGCCTTCTCCTCTGGGCTCCCGGGCGCACTGTCTCAGGTCGCAGTCACCACTTTAACCAGGGACAGCGGTGCTTGGGTCTCCCACGTGGCTAACTCTGTGGGGCCGGGTCTTGCTAATAACTCTGCCCTGCTCGGGGCTGACCCCGAGGCCCCCGCCGGTCGCTGCCTGCCCCTGCCACCCTCCCTGCCAGTCTGCGGCCACCTGGGCATCTCACGCTTCTGGCTGCCCAACCACCTCCACCACGAGAGCGGCGAGCAGGTGCGGGCCGGGGCACGGGCGTGGGGGGGCCTGCTGCAGACGCACTGCCACCCCTTCCTCGCCTGGTTCTTCTGCCTGCTGCTGGTCCCCCCATGCGGCAGCGTCCCGCCGCCCGCCCCGCCACCCTGCTGCCAGTTCTGCGAGGCCCTGCAGGATGCGTGTTGGAGCCGCCTGGGCGGGGGCCGGCTGCCCGTCGCCTGTGCCTCGCTCCCGACCCAGGAGGATGGGTACTGTGTGCTCATTGGGCCGGCTGCAGGTAACTGGCCGGCCCCGATCTCCCCACCCTTTCCTTTTTGCCTTGCCAGGTAAGTGTGGGCGGGGCTGACGTGAGCCTGGTACAGGTTCCCCCCACATCGAATCTCTACGTTCAGGGGCCCGTGGCCCTCGGGAGGTGGGAGAGCTGGGAGTGAGGCCTCCTGTGTGGGGAGGAGGCCGGCGTCTGGACAGGAAGAGGGCTGGATGAACCGCAGCCGATGTGTCCAGGTGCCACCTGGGCCTGGAGCTCCCTGAGCATTTTAGCGCATTTAGTCCTCAGCACGGTCCCGAGATACCCTGCCATGCCCCGAGTCACAGAGGGGAAACTGAGGCGTGGGGCAGTGGCGTGACTCACCCCAGGGAGCCGAGATTCCCGCTCAGGTGTGGCTGCATCGACCTTGCTCCGGTCACTAAGCTGCACGGTTCGATGCGCTTCCTGGGAGCCCCAGCGTGCTCGGGCCAAGGGTGCTGCCGCGTGGGCAGTGCAGAGACCCTACCAGCGTGGGGACCAGGGAGGTCTGCAGGGCCCGTCCTGAGAGGGAGCCTTTCATGTCCCCCTCCCCATCCTGAAGCACACAGCCTCCCTGCCACAGTGGGGGCCGCTTCTGGGCCCAGGGGACGTTGCCCCATCACCGTGTGGCCTGGCCTTGTTGCTGGCTGGACAGTTGGGGGCAGGAAGAGGAGGGAAAGGGGGACTCTTTAACCTCCTGGGGGCAGGGGCAGCCCAGAAAGGACCCCAGCAGATCCCTCCTCTGTGTCCGGGAGTAGACGGGGCCCCTGAGCTGTGCCTGCCCCATTCAGATTCTGCTTGCTATGTGCACCTGGCAGCCTTGGCCCAGAGGCCCTATCCCCGCAGGGTGAGGTGCTCTGTCCTCCTCTGCTGTCCTCCCCATAGTGCCGAGGGGAAGCAGCCTTGCTGTTTGCTCTTTGGGCTTTGGGACAGGGTTGGTGGGGGTTAGCAGCTGTGCCGGACCTGGAGGTGGGGGTGCCTGCAGTGGAAATTCTGGTGGACGCCCACCCACCAGGCTCCGTGAGGGATGACGAGCTTGGTGATTCCCCTTGAGTTTCAGGCCAGTGACCGTTTCTCTCAGCAAAGCCCAGAGCCTCTGCAGACCCTGTGTGGGGCCTGGGGAGTGGCCGGGGGGCCACAGACAGGGCAGGGACAAGTGCTGACAACAGGTGGTCCCAGGAGTAAAGCCCACGTGGGCTGGAATGGAGGGGCAGGGAGGGAGGGAGGGAGGGAGGGCTGCAGCGGGGCCTGGCTGAGCCTGAGGGGGGCACAGGAACTGCGCTGGGGGGGCCTGGTGTGTGCAGGAGTGGGGGCCCTTGTGGATGCGCCCCAGAAGCATAGGGCTGGAGCTCTCCGAGGCAGGGGCCGTGCCCGCGGCTGTTGGCATCTCGTAGGGCTGGAGCTCTCCCAGGCAGGGACCGTGCCCACGGCTGTTGGCATCTCGTAGGGCTGGAGCTCTCTGAGGCAGGGGCCGTGCCCACGGCTGTTGGCATCTCATAGGGCTGGAGCTCTCTGAGGCAGGGGCTGTGCCCGCGAATGTTGGCATCTCAGGGCTTAGATGTCACCCCCAGGGCAGCTGGCACTGCCACAAGCAGCCAGATTCCTGGGTCCCACTCATCCTCCGTCCCTGGAACACCCAAATGCCCAGCAAGCACCAGCCGCCTTGCAGGCAACCCCCCCGGAGCCACACCCCACCTGGCTACTGTTCCCCACCAAGCATGTGGGTAGGGCAGCCTTGCAGGAGCCGTACTGACTGGAGGGACCCGGGTCCGGTGTCCTGGAGCCCCGGGAGGCTCCAGCACAGCCCACCTTGTCCTCCACTGCAAGCCCACGGAGGCAGACAGGACAGCGGTGGGCTGGGAGGGCTGCAGCCTGTGGGAGGGGAAACGCCAGGCCTGCACACCTGACCCTGCCCTAGCCCTGCCAGCCCGAGACTGTCTGGGATCAGCTGAGCACTGTGAGCAAGCTTCAGCCTCAGGGAAGGTGCCGGTCTCCTGGGAGTTGGGGCACAGCTGCATGGCTTGGGGGCTGGGGTCCGAGTGGGGCTGTGAGGGCGAGGAATTTCTGCAACTGCAGCTGGCCCGGTCGGTGGCACAGCCTGATGGGGACTTTTCACTGAACATCTGGACAGCTTGGTAGCGTCCCCGTGCGAGGGAGGCCGTGTCCCGTGCAGGGTCCTGGGGGACTCCATCAGCGTTCCTGGCCTGCATTGCCTCTGGCCAGGGGTGGGCCTCAAGCTTTATCAAGGAGCCCCTTCCCAGGTGTGGCCTGGCCGGGAGGGTCCTGCCCCCTCTTCTGGCCTCTCAGCTCCTCCCCAGCCCAGGCTCCTCTTGGGTTAGCCCCAACTCCTGCCGGACCCCTATGTTGGGCTGGACACTCCCAGCCCTGGGTGAGGGGCAGGAGGAGGAGGGGGAGCCCAGCCTGACCCCTCGGGCAGACTTCGAGGCCCCGAAAGTGGGGGTGCTGGGCTGTGATCCGGGCACCAGAACAGAGCCCTCGAGGCCCACAGAGGTCCCTGGCTGCATCTCCAGGGATCAGGGAGTATGTGCCCCTGAGGGGAGGGGAGCTGGAGGGGTCCTGCTGCCTCCTGCCCGGCTCCATCTCCAGCGCCCCCTCCACCTCGTCCTGGGCACTGCCCTGTGTGTCCACCCCGCCGGCCCACCTCGAGGAGAGTGTGGGGGACAGTGCAGCCGTGCTGGGGCGTGGGGGGCGCTCAAAGGGAGGGTGAACCCTGTGGTCAGCACACAAGCAGGGACCCTGTGGAGGGTTTTGCTGTGTTGTGGGCTTGTCCCTCAGGTCCACGAGGAAGGGAGTGAGGCCCCCTCACACGGGAGGGCCGGGGTGGGGTAGGGAGGCTCCCTTGCTGCAGCTGCCAAGAGTGAGCGAGCGGGGCTTGGGCTTGGGCTGCCCGGGACACTGCCTCCAGGAAGCCCCCTGGGCTGTCTCAGTGGGACTCTGTGAGTGACACATGGAGCTCAGGTCACAAGGGCTGTGGGAGTGTCACCCCACAACAGCAACGGGTGCCTGGCCCTCTGGACTTTGCTCTCTACACCCCTCCTGAGCTCTCACAAACCCTGGCCCCTGGGACCGGAGGCAGGTGATGTTTCCAAGGAGTCCTACAGGCAAGCATCCTCTGACCTGGGAGCTGCGTATTGTTCCCGTTTACAGGTGAGAAACTGAGGCCTAGGAAGGACAGACACGTGTGCGTGCCGCAAGTGTGGCTAGCAAGGAGGGAGCCTGGAGGAGGGCCCAGCAGCCTGGCCCCAGAGCGCTCTTCAGCATCGCAGCAGATGCAGGACAAGCAAGCTCCCAGCCGGGGAGCACCAGGAGACCAGCAGGCATCCACCCTCGTGGTGCAGGCCATCTGATGAGGGCAGGGACCAGTGCCGGGATGGATAGTGCCTGTGCACAGAGTGGGGCGCAACTGGGCACAGCTGCCACCGGGGTGCTCGGGAGGCAGGTCCACACACACGCCGGCCAAGTCGCTCATCTCAAATGCACGAGTCCCGTGATCTTGGAAAGTGGTGCACAGGCCCCTGGGCTGGGGCTTCCTCTGCCTCCACCCCCATCACTGGACATTCGGAGGTCAGTGGGAGGCCACGGGAGTGCACGTGAAGGTCATGTCACCATGATGGCCCCGAGGGGCTGCTCCTTCATCGCTCCTCCCTACCCCATGGGCCAGCCACTGGCACACAGGTGTCCTTATATGGTGCTTACCTCTTGCTCCTTTAGTCAAATGCAGAATTTGAGAAAATGTCCCTTCTCCTTAAAATGCTTTGATTTGTTTGATGTTTCCATGTAACTTTGGTTTAAGAAGGGAGAAGACCACTCTGGGAAATAACTCATGCTTATCTCTCACCGCTTGGCAACCTACAAATATTTTTTCGATGATGCTGGCTAAGCTTCTCGTAAATTCTCCATGCCTCTTAGATGCACCAAGAGTGACTCAGCATTTAACTCCTACTGGAGTGTCAAGGGCCCAGTGCATTGGGTGCAGTTGTCTGTGGGTACAAGATCTTGTGTGATTCTGAACTAAGCACAGACAGAATGAAAAGCACAGCACTCCAAACAGGGCTTCCTGCAGGTCCTTTTACGTATATTTGGGTTTTTGTATATATCTAAGGTCAAGCTAGTGGACATCTATCACTTCAACCAGTTACCGTTGTGAGTGTGGTGAGAAAACTTAAGATCTACTCAAGTTTGAAGTGCCATATGCGATACAGTATTCTAGCTGTAATCACCATGTGTACATTAGACCTCTAGAACTTACTTTTCCTGCATAACTGAAACTTTGTACCCTTCGACCAACAGTCACATTTCCTCTTCTCTGTGGGCTGGCCTCGGCTGTGCCCTGTTAGCATTCCCAGATAAACAAAAGCTAAGGGGGTTAATTGCCACTAGACCTTCCCTGCAGGAAATGGTCCAGTAGTCCAACAGGCGAAATGAAAGGACACTACTCAGTAACAGTAAGTCAAGGAGGCCCCCGTTGCCTATGCACAGAGTGGGGTGGCAGCTGTGCCCCATTGCACCCCACTCTGTGCATGGGCACCGTCCATCCGGCACCAGTCCCTACCCCTTATCAGATGGCCTGCACCATTAGGGTGGACACCTGCTGGTCTCCTGGTGCCCCCCTGCAGGGCTCTTCCTTGTCCTGCATCTGCTGCAATGCTGAAGAGCAGTCTGGAGCCAGGCTGCTGGGCCCCCCTCGAGGCTTCCTTGCTAGCCACATCTGTGGCACACACGCATATTTGTCCTTCCTAGACCTCAGCCCCTGACAACCACCATTCTACTCTGCTCCTATGAATGTGACTTTTTTAGATCCCACATGTGAGATCATGCAGTATTTGCTTCTATGCCTGCCTTATTTCCTTTAGTTTAATATCCTCCAGGTTCATTCATAAAAAGTGCAGTTACAAACTGTTGTTGCAATACCAGCTTTTATAATTGCCCATGTATTTACCTTTATTGAGATCTTCATTTCTTCATGTGACTTACTGTTATTGACTAGTGTCCTTTCATTTTACCTGCTGGACTCCCTGGACCATTTTCTGCAGGGCAGGTCTAGTGGCAATTAACTCCCTTAGCTTTTGTTTATCTGGGAATGCCAATTTCTCCCTCACTTTTGAAGGACAGTTTTACTGGATATAGGACTCTTGGTTAACAGTTTTTTTTTTCTTTTAGTACATTGAATATATTGGTCCACTGCCTTTTGGCTTCCAAAGTTTCTGTGACAAATCTGCTGATAATCTTATTAAGAAGCCCTTGGATGTGATCAGTTGCTTTTCTCTTGCTGCTTTCCAGATTCTCTCTCTGTTTTTGAAAGTTTGATGATAATGTAACTTGGTGTGAGTCTCTTTGAGTTTACCTTACTTGGAGTTCCCTGAGCTCTTAACTGTTTATATTCATGTCTCCCAACAAATTTGAGAAGCTTTCAGCCATTATTTCTTCAGATAGTCTCTCTGCACCTTTCTTTTTCTCTTCTGTTTGCAGCTTCCACGGCATGCATGCTTCCTTGTCTCTTGATGGTGGCCACAAGCCCCTTAGGCTCTTTTCACCTTTCTTTCATCTTTTGTCTTTGAAAATTTCCATTATCTTATCTTCAAGCTCATTAATTTATTCTTTTGTCTGCTCAAATCACCTTCAGATTCCTCTAGTGATGTTTTCAATTTCAGCTATTGTACTTTTCAGTTCTGTAATTTCTTTCTGGTTTCTTTCAAGGTTTTTATATTGATATTTCCATGTTGTTCATACATCACTTTCTTGACTTTCTCCACACCTTCCTGTAGTTCTTTGAGCATCTTTAAGACAGTCATTTTAAAGTCTTTGTCTAGTAGATCTGCCATCAGGTCTTTTGCAGAGACAGCTTCTGTTAATTTATTTTTCTCCTTTGAATGTGCTATATTTTCTTATTGCTTTGTGTGCCTTGTGATTTTGTGTTAAAAAGTGAACATTTGAACTCAGTAATGTGGCTCTTGAATTTTGCCCTTCACCAGCGTTCGCTTTTTTTTGTTACTTTTTAAAAAATGTTTTGTGTCTGTGCCAGAAATCTCCCTTAGGTGTGAACTTCAGGTCTTCTCAGGTCTTTTCTGAGCCTGTCCCTTTCCCTGGGTGTGTGCAGCCACTTTCTAATTTTCCTCTTACATGCTGCTGTTTTTCAATGTCCCGTTCTTTCATGTTTGGCTCCCAAAGGAGGAATAAGATAAAAATGAGGGAGAAAAAACAGTGCCAGCCCTCTAAATCCCCTTCAAGTCACTTCAGCTGGAAGGGGCAGCTTGCAACAACAGAGGGAGTGTAAAACAATGGCCCCACCTCCCTGTCTGCACATCTGTGATCCCAGGCAACCTGATCAGAGCACAGGTTCTCGATGTCTGCAGGACAGGGTCCTTTTTGCCGTCCTGTTTCCCACAAGCTGTGTGGCTGCTGCTCCAGGAACTCGTGCATGGCACCTGCTATGGGAATGGGGGTGGAGGATGGATGTGTGGCTGCTATTGTGCCAAGAGCTGGGGTTTAGCTAAATTAACCACCCGTTACCGTCCAAGCCTTCCTGTGGACATTGCAAGCTTTCAGTAGACTCCAGAGTTCCAAAAGAGTTCTAAGACAAATTCTGCCCATGCACTTGTTAATTAGTTGGGGAGATGGATTCCTGGCGCTTTCCATCTGCCATTTACCAGAGTACTCCAGAATCATTTTCAAACACGTTTCTTTCTGTCAAGAAATCAAGTCTTGGCCAGGCATGGTGGCTCACGTCTGTAATCCCAGCACTTTGGGATGCCGAGGCATGCGGATCGCCTGAGGTCGGGAGTTGGAGACCAGCCTGACCAACACGGAGAAACCCCATCTCTACTAACAATACAAAATTAGCTGGGTATGGTGGTGCATGCCTGTAATCCTAGCTACTCGGGATGCTGAGGCAGGAGAACTGCTTGAACCTGGGAGGTGGAGGTTGTGGTGAGCTGAGATTGCACCACTGTACTCCAGCCTGGGCAACAAGAGCGAAACTCCATCTAAAAAAAAAAAAGAAAAGGAAAGAAATCAAGTCTTGAGGCATCATCATTGTTATATCATGTGCAGGTGTCTAGCCTGGATGCCACCCAGCTATGCCAAATGCGGGGAGAAACTCCCTATGGGCACTGTGGCTGGGTCCAGAGCTCAGAGGCTGGAGCTTTGAGAACTGGGCTGGAGCCAAACCATGATGGAAGCCTCTAGCTCTCAGGAAGAGACACACATCTGCGGGGGCAGAGTGACCACATTTCCAGGTTGCCCAGCCCTCGGGAGTAGCACAGTGCCCAGGCACTGGGGCAGAGGTGGATCCCGTAGTCCCTCGGTGGGAGCTCCAAAGCCTCCCGTTTTCATCTCTTCCTCTTCCCAGGATGGGATTTTGGGGATGAGATCTTCCTGGTGGGCTGGAGTCTGTCCCAGAAGTCAACAGCCCAACCTGGGGCCAAAAAAGACCCTCTTAGATAAGGCAGGCCCTCGGCAAGACTCCAGCCACACATGAGAGGGTGGAACAGAGCTCCTGAGTCCCACTAACCACGGCCACCTGCAGTGGTCAGGTGGGGGCACCGTGTCCATCCCCCCATGGGTTTGTGCCAATTTGCATATAGGTATGTAGCTTCCTATTGGCGACTGTAAGAAATTGCCACAAATTCAGTGGCTTAAACCAACACAGCTGTCTTACCTTTCAGTTTTGGAGGTCAGAGTCTGAAACCAGTTCACTGGGCTGAAACCAAGGTGTTGTCAGGGCTGGGTCCCTCTGGGACTCTGGAGGAGAATCTGTTTTCTTGACTTTTCCAGCCTCTAGAGGCTGCCGCTTCCCTTCGCTCAAAGCCCCTTCTTCCCCCTTCAAAGCCAACGGTGTTGGACAAGTCCTCATGGTGCCATCTTTTGTCCTTCGATTTTAAGGCTTTGTGTGGTTAGAAGTGGATCATCTCCCATCTCCAGGTCCACAGCCTGAGTCCCAGCTGCAGCATCCCCTTGCCACGTAAAATTACGCTTGTGGGTTCCAGCTGTTGTGCCGTGGACATCCTTGGGGCCATGGCTCTGCCCACCACAGTTTGTCCATGTGCACGGCTGCACATGTGTACATATGCATGGGAGTCTTACTTTGCATTAATGGGATTGCCCTGTGTCTGAAAGTTCCTCTTTCCTTTATCCTGCATCTCAGGAGTCTCCATAACTCCAGGGAGATGCTCTGCTCTTCGTGTTGTTCTGGTCTTTTCCTCAGCCCTTCCTGACTGAAGCACTCGCAGGTATTTCTGCTTCTCTGTATAACAGATGACCCTGCAGACACCTGCTCAGCCCCGACTGGCGGGTTCATCGCACAGCCTCGCCTTTGTTTATCAGACACCAGCTGAGCCACCCCACCTGTGCCTGGCGTGGGTTTTGGGTCAGCGCTGACGGTGGAGAGATTGAATGTTGTAAACGTGTCCGAGTGTCAACAGGAAGTCTCCACCCGGGGACAGGGGCCCGTTTCTTAGGTTGTTTTTAGCCTTCCGTGGGGGCTCTGCAGCCTTGGGATTTGGTGGAGGTGTTTGTTCTGAGGCCGTTTTTCTTTGATGCCAAGATGTCCCCCCGGGCACTTCACTGCGTAAGTGCTATGGTGTGATGGAGTGATGATGGTGGCGCACTCTTCAAGCTCTGGATCAGGTTCCGGAAGCTCTGTGTGAGTCTTACTGAGGTGGTTATTTTCTCTTTTCCCTGGAAAGTGGGCTGAGAGCACTCCATGTGGGCACGAGCGGCCCTGGCTCTGCAGGACTGGAGGGGGCTGTGCTGGAGGGCGGGGGGCTGGCCAGGCAGCCTTGGATCTTGTCCTCAGGAGCCCTTCAAAGGGGCAGCAGAGACTCCAGGCCCTGTGCCCCGAGGAGTCAGGCTGGGCTGGTTCTGGGGAGTGTCTGGAGCACCTGATGCTGAGCACAGGCGGGCGTCCGTGGAGTGCACGTGTCTGAGGGTCTCTGAGGGGTTTGCCCTTTTCTTCGGAGCCACGGTGGCCGTGAGGGATGCAGGACATTGGGTGTGGCCCTCGAGGACTGGCCTGTCTGGAGCCCACTCCCCCGTGGGTGAACGCGGCTCTTGGTGGAGAGCCCAGTTTGGGGAGAAGGGACGGTCTTGTCCTGGGAGGTGTCAGACAAAGCCGAGCATGGGACTCACAGGAGACCCCCAGTCAGGCCGTGTCAGGGTGAGGCTGGGAGTGAGGGTCCTGGAAAGTCCGGCTTCTGGGAGAGGGCGCTTTGGCTCAGAGGCTGCCACTGCAGAAGGGATGGACGTCCCCGGTCCCCTAAGATAAGGGACCCAAGGGGAGGGGCGGGGACGTTCCACACTGGTGTGAGAACAGCGGAGAGTCCCAGCCAGAGGTACCCGCTGCTCTCCTGCGGGGAGGATGCTGGCTGCACTGTCTGTCCTGGGCATATTTAAAGGGGCCTCTGTTAACACACACAGGCCTCCAGAACCATCCACACTTCTGGCTGGCCTGATTCCTGAGGGGGAAATGGTCTTTAAAGAAGCAAGCACCTTGATCCAAAGGGAGGTGGTCCAGCAGGAGGGGCCGCCCCACCATACCCAGGAAGGTTGAGCTCTCGCACCCGGGAAGGCTGAGCTCTCGCACCCGGGAAGGCTGAGCTCTCGAAATGGGGTTCAGGCATTTGCTGTTTGATTCCAGGACATCTGAGACAGCTGGGCCTGTACCTCGGGGAGTGGAGGCTGCGCCATTCTCTGCCCATCCAGCATCTTAGGGCCGGGCATTTGGAAGCTGGCTTCTGAAGGGAGCCCCCAGGAGCTTCGTGGAGAGGAGACGGGACAGCTTTGGAAAGGGCGTTGCTGTCACTGGGGTCCCTGGGGCCGCCGGTGTAGCGTGCTGGTACCCTCCAGCCCAGGAAGGTGGCAGCTGCCGCATCTTGCTTTCCCAATGACGGAATGTTCTAGGAAGGGTGGTGGGAGGTTTCTCCAAGGTGAACGCGGGGGCAGCTGGGTGGCTGGCACGGCCTCTGGCCCCCAGGCCGAGTCCTGTTTCCTGATCTTATCACAGCCCCAGCTTGGACATGTGGGACCAGGCACTTCTTATGAGAAAAAGGATCATTGTAACAGCTGCCATCTGGATGGACGATCATTGTAACAGCTGCCATCTGGGTGGACGGCGGCCTCTGTCTGAGGGGGATGTGACCGCTGGCCCCCAGAGCCCAGGCTCAGCCCGTTGGGACCCCTCTGCCCCTGGCCCAGACTGTGGCTGCAAAGCCCGGGCTCTGCCTGGCACGGCAGGTGTGCTGGGAAGTCACTCTGAGCAGGGTCTGCCCTTGAGTGGGTGCTGCCCCCCTCCCGTGGGCAGGAAACGAGGTGTGAGAACTCTGGGCACCGGGGCTGCGTCCTGGCTTGGGCTCCCTGGGCGAGGGATGGACAGGGCTCCTTCTGACCCTGGGCTACTGAGTCGAAGTGAAGTCAAGCTCCGCCTGGGCAGGAATGAGTGGAGTGAGTCACCCGGCGCTGTGGGGCATTTGCACGGAGCAGCGGGGCTGGTGGGGAGACTGTGGCACGTTGGCAGGTACGTCAGGCATGCAGCCCCTCCAAGGGGTGATTGTGGCCCCGAGGGGAATCAGCATGGGGGGGATGGGGAGATACAGCTTGTCCTTGCCACATGAAGCACCTGGCCCAGCAGGTGAGCCGGTGACCGACAGCGCTGGGTGAAATCCCGCACCGTGTCCTCAGATGCCACGTGGAACCCCAGCTGAGGCAGCCACTCTGGGCGACGCCCCGTAGCCGAGGCTTCGAAGAACACTGGGGTGTGGGGTCAGCCTCCCTCCTTCCCTGTGGTGGAACTGTGGCTTCACAGTGGAGGCCAGGCTGGGGTGCCGGCCTGGGCTGCTCCAGCAGGGTCAGAGTGGGCGGGCAGGGCACAGGGCCGGGCGGGAAGGCTGCCAGCCCCAGCCCCTCACAGCTCCTTGCCCCAGCGGGGGTGCCGGCCAGTCCCTGGTCCCTTCTCCCCACTGGCTCTGCCCATCAATGCTCAAAGCATGGAAGGGGAAGCCTGTGGACACCATGTCTGCTGTGCCCATCCCTGCTCAAAGCATGGAAGGGGGCCTGTGGACACCATGTCCCGTGCAGACACCATGTCTCCTGCAGACACCATGTCCCCTGCACACAGGTTTCTGCATGGAGCCTGCCTGTCGTTTGGGAATGAGTGAACCAGGGTGGCCGTTGGGTGGCTGAGCCCAGGGGATCAGGGCAGGCTGCCAGGCACGTGGAGAGCCCTCCCAGACTCAGTTTCTCCTTTCTGCCCCTGCCTGGCTGCCTCTCCAGGCCGCGTCGGTGGCCCCTGGTTCCGTCCTGCACAGCCACCTCACCAGCTGTCTTTCTTTTTGCAGAGCGCATCAGCGAGGAGGTGGGGCTGCTGCAGCTCCTTGGGGACCCCCCGCCCCAGCAGGTCACCCAGACGGATGACCCCGACGTCGGGCTGGCCTACGTCTTTGGGCCAGATGCCAACAGTGGCCAAGTGGCCCGGTACCACTTCCCCAGCCTCTTCTTCCGTGACTTCTCACTGCTGTTCCACATCCGGCCAGCCACAGAGGGCCCAGGGGTGCTGTTCGCCATCACGGACTCGGCGCAGGCCATGGTCTTGCTGGGCGTGAAGCTCTCTGGGGTGCAGGACGGGCACCAGGACATCTCCCTGCTCTACACAGAACCAGGTGCAGGCCAGACCCACACAGCCGCCAGCTTCCGGCTCCCCGCCTTCGTCGGCCAGTGGACACACTTAGCCCTCAGTGTGGCAGGTGGCTTTGTGGCCCTCTACGTGGACTGTGAGGAGTTCCAGAGAATGCCGCTTGCTCGGTCCTCACGGGGCCTGGAGCTGGAGCCTGGCGCCGGGCTCTTCGTGGCTCAGGCGGGGGGAGCGGACCCTGACAAGTTCCAGGTAACCCCCACTGTGCCGTCGCTGGGGGACTGGAGCAGCTGGGATGGGGTGGGGTGGGGGTGGCCACTGGGACAGGGACGGAGCTGTGGCCGGAAGAGGAGAGCCCCCACCCCAGCTGTGGTCAGCCCGGGCCTCCAGCGCAGGCCTCCTGGGTTCTTGGCTGCTCAGCCCTGGCCTCCGGCGCAGGCCTCCCGGGTTCTTGGCCGGCCTGGCTGGGGTGGCATTCACTTTCTTGGCTCTCTGGCTCCTGCGCCCCCAGGAAGGGTAGCCCTGGGCTTCCATGGTTTCTCTGAGACCCCGAGGCCCAGCCCAGGAGGGCCCTCTTTGAACGACTTTGTAACTAGACATCCACCCCAGCCGTGACCCCGTGACCCAGAGACACCCCCAGGCCTGTGCCAAGCCCTGTGGTGAAGTGGGGCTCCCGGCCTCTGACCGGCCGGTCGGGTAAGTGGGGACCGAGTCCAGGCCCAGCCACACGCCTCGTGGCCCCATGCAGAATGAAAGCTGGGGTCCTTGTTGAAAACGATGAACGATCCAAAGCTGGCGGCAGCAGGGTGTTGATCCCAGCAGGGTTCTCCTGTGGTAGCTGCACACCCGCTGGGACCAGGGGCTCAGGGCGGCCCTGCAGGTCAGCACCTTTAACAAAGGGTGCAGCAACCCACGCCTGTGAGACTCCACTTTGGAGCACGTGGTGGGAGTCCCCCAGCGGTGAACGCACGTGGCCGCCTCCACCTGAGTCTCCGGGAAGTCCCTCCAGTGGGCCTTCATTTCTTGGGGTTGGGGGGGTGGACAGATCCCTAAACCCATGTGGGGTCTGTGTCCAAAGCCCCTGCATTTCTGGGAACCTTTGGCTGGGAACAGCCACGTGGGTGACCTCAGCTGGCACTGTCTCACAAGTCCCTGAATTCTAGCATTCAAGCTGGCCTGCAGCTGGACGCCCCTGCCCTGGCGGGCCGCAGGGGACAGAAGGTTAATTATTGCCCAGACAAGGGCTGTTTGTTTGAAGTTGTTCTAAGTCCTGGTGTCTGGGGGTTCTGAAAGCTGACTTTTCACCTTTGGCAGGAACTTTTAACCCTCAGAGCTCAGGAGCCGCTAGGACGTTGACACCAAACTGGGCCTCTTTGTTTTCCTC
The DNA here is from genome assembly GCF_000001405.40 of Homo sapiens. Lineage (NCBI taxonomy): Eukaryota > Metazoa > Chordata > Mammalia > Primates > Hominidae > Homo > Homo sapiens. Next base: position 87,154 of record NW_025791815.1, read on the forward strand.
TTGATCACAAACATGATTACCGGGAAAGAAGTCAGAGTCACCCCCTCCAGTGAGAGGCAATTTGTTGTGTGAGTCCCCAGCCGTTTCTTGGTGGAATAAAGTGGCCCACAAGTGCCGTACATCTTTAACACTGTTAGGAAAAGCGGCTGAGTGCCGAGAGCTCGGTACGTGGGTGCACAGCTGTGCCCCGATGGTGCTAGGGAGAGCCGGGCCACCGCCCTGCGGTGAGGGCCTCCTCATCAGCGAAGTCCCGTGTGTAGGAAGAGGGGGTCTGGGTGTTTAATTTTGCATTTCTTGGACTGTGAAGATAGACTTTCATTTTGTCACTTGTTTATTGTCTGTTTGTATTTCTTCCTTTGTGACTGACCGGTTTATGTTCTTTGTGGTTTTCAATGGGCCCAACTCTCAGTGATTTATACAAACTCCTTATCTTTAAAAGAAACTTCTCTTTGGTTTTGCATGCTGCAGATTTTATTTCTACCATGTCATTTGCCTTTTTACCTTGTCTTTTTTTTTTTTTTTTTTTTTGACTATTGGGATTGGATGTGTGGTTTTTTTGTGGGTTTTTTTTTTGTTTTTTTTTTTTTAGATGGAATCTCGCTCTGTTGCTCAGGCTGGAGTGCAATGGGGTGATCTCGGCTCACTGCAACCTCTGCCTCCCAGGTTCATGCGATTCTTCTGCCTCAGCCTCCCAAGTAGCTGGGATTACAGGCACCTGCCACCATGCCTAGCTAATTTTTGTATTTTTAGTAGAGACGGGGTTTCACCATATTGGTCAGGCTGGTCTCGAACTCCCGACCTCAGGTGATCCACCCGCCTAAGCCTCTCAAAGTGCTGGGATTACAGGCGTGAGCCACTGCACCCAGCTGGGATTTGATGTGTTTATGTGGTTAAATCTGGCCTGGAGAAGACACCATGACTTACAACAGCCCAGTGAAACCTTGGAAGGTCAGAGAGCTGGAACAGGAGGGAGCTAGAGGGCCCTGGGTCTGGCCCTGGGCTGGGGCCCTGCTGGGCGTGGGTGGCGTGCAGCAGGCCGTGTGCTGCTGGGCGTGGGTGGCGCGCTACAGGCTTCGTGCTGCTGGGCCTGGGTGGCGTGCTACGGGCTTGTGCTGCTGGGTGTGGGTGGCGCGCTACGGGCCTTGTGCTGCTGGGCCTGGGTGGCGCGCTACGGGCCGTGTGCTGCTGGGCCTGGGTGGCGCACTACGGGCCTTGTGCTGCTGGGCGTGGGTGGCGTGCAGCAGGCCGTGTGCTGCTGGGCGTGGGTGGCGCGCTATGGGCCGTGTGCTGAGGGCTGTGTTGGTTGATCTCTGTGTCAGGTCCCTGCAGGCCTCAGGTGTCAGGAACTTTCTCTTTGGGTCTTAGATGAGATTCCAGCTGGGGAGAGGAGAAGCATGCTTGTGTGGTAGAAAAGAAGACAGACTTGTTCAGCACAAGATTTTCTCAGACTTCTGAATTGAGATACTTGGGAAAGAAACATTCAAGTTGTGTGACTCATAATTTTTGGCAGAAACAAGCACAGAGCTTTGGGAGCAGGGAGGAAACCGAGGCTTCCTCCTCCTCAGCCTCTCCACAAGACTGCATCGACCCTGGCGCTGCCACAGATGGTGCCTGGGACCCCCGGCCGCAGCTGGGTCCAACAGAGCCCTCCGGAGCATTGGTTGTGTTCCTCGTCCTAAGAGTCCTTGGGCGTTGTTGGTCTTTTCAGGTTCACTTTCTTGAGTCAGGTTTGTCAGTGGTCGTCTCCCGGGAAATCATGCACCCCTCCCAGCTGCTGCCGTTGCCTTGAACGTCATTTCCAGCTGTGTCCTGATTTCCAGCTGTGTCCTGATTTCCAGCTGTGTCCTGATTTCCAGGGCGCTGAGGCTGCAGCGTGTCGGGAAGCATTTTACATGCTCTTCCCTCACAGAATTCCTGTGAGCTCTGTTTCAGGTGTCTCCGGATTTCATAACTTTCAGTCCGAAGTCCCTTAAATATTTACAATGGGCCTGTGGCTTTTGCACTAGCGCCTCCTGCCCCACCCCCGGAGCCAGCGGCCACCACGGGCTCAGAGCTTCTCTGCCCTCTGTAGTCGCCCCCCACCCAGGCACCCTGTAGCCCCGTGCAGGAGGCGTCGGCCCCTCGGGGGCACTCTCAGGAGAGCGCTGTGGCCACCTGTGGGGGGGTCAGGGCCTCACGGGCCTCTCTGGACAGTGCATGTCTGTGTGGGGATCGGGTGTCAGGAATGCCCAGTCCCTCCCCGACACCAAGACCACCCAAGATGCACCCCCCGCCCGGGCTGCCCCAGTGGAGAAGCGCAGTTTTTTTTTTTTGTTTTTTTTTTGAGACGGAGTCTCGCTCTGTCGCCCAGGCTGGAGTGCAGTGGCACGATTGCGGCTCACTGCAAGCTCTGCCTCCCGGGTTCACGCCATTCTCCTGCCTCAGCCTCCCAAGTAGCTGGGACTACAGGCGCCCGCCACCAGGCCAGGCTGATTTTTTGTATTATTAGTAGAGACGGGGTTTCCCCATGGTCTCAATCTCCTGACCTTGTGATCCACCCGCCTCGGCCTTCCAAAGTGCTGGGATTACAGGCGTGAGCCACTGCGCCCGGCCGAAGCGCAGTTTTCTAGAATTCAACCCCAGCTCCTCCCTGGGCCTGACCTGGGGGCTCCTGAATGTGAAGGCTCAGCTGCTGGGCTGCTGCCCCACCCCCACGCAGTAGGTCCTGGTGGACAGTGGACCCTGGACCCCACGGTGCTGCCCCTGGCCGACCTGGGGGCACTGTAGGCAACGCCCTCCCCCGCAGTGTGACGCTGAGAGCCGCTGGTGCGCTCTGTGAGGCTGAGAACCGCTGGTGCGTTTTGTGGGAAACCTGTGGGAAACCCAGGGGGCCCACAGGGTCCACACCCCCCCACGCATGAGCTCACACGCGTGCATACGTGATCTCATGTTTGCACACATGTGTCCATGCAGATGCATGCTCTCACGCACATGTGCCCACACACTCAGCACTCACACCCCGTCCTGCAGGCTCAGCCCCACTCCTGAGCCACCTGCCTGGGCTTTGGGGGCCCAGCCGGCATGGGGAGCCCCAGGCTCCAGCTGGCCTCGCTTGGCTCTGAAATCTAGGCCAGGATGCAGAACCCGCAGTGCGGCCAGTGGAGCCCCTGGTACTGTGCGCAGCCCCCACCTGGCAGCCCCTTTTCCTGTCAAAGCCCCTCCCAGCGTCCTCTCCCCACCAGGCAAGCTACCCGCTTGAGGCTTAGGACGTTGCGCCCTCCTGTGTCCTTGCCCAGCATCCCCGGCCTGCATCTCACCAGGCACCGCCGGCCGCGCCAGGGCCCGAGAGGGCAGGGTCAGGCACCCTGGCACTCAGCCCAGGACTGAAGATGCCAGAGGGAGCGGTGGGTAGGTGGGTGAGTGAGTGAGATTGGGTCCGGACGGAATGGGCGCAGAGATCCAGGAAACTCCCCTACATCTGCGGCGTTTCTGTCCTTGGCTTCTGGGTTTTGTTTTTGATGAAAAGGTGAAGTTCAAAGAAAGCAAAGCCATGGTGCCACCTCGGTTGGTCCGAGTCGGGAGATGAGGCCGCCTGGTGCTTGCGTAAAGCTCCCGGGACTTGGGGTTGGGGGACTTGACCTGCAGCCCCTCGAATCTGCCCGCCCTCCCAGGCCTTGGATCGAGCCACACCTGCTGTGGTTCTAAACCCGTAGCCCTCAGGTGGCCCATCAGCTGCCTCAGATGAGCCAAGTCTGAGGGAGCAGCCTCCGCCCAGCCGGGTGCTTTCCACATGAAAGCGCCCAGGACGCCCCTGGGTCTCACCACTTCTTCCTACCATGAGGCATACCGCACCCCCAGGGAGGCTGCCCGAGACCCCTTCCCTCTCCGAGACTCTCCTGCCCTTTGTGGGCCCCCCGAAATCTGGAGCTCAAGCAGCACCGGGGTTGCCACTGCCACCTCAGGACCGCTGGTGACCCCTTTCTCTGTCTGCATTTAGGGGGTGATCGCTGAGCTGAAGGTGCGCAGGGACCCCCAGGTGAGCCCCATGCACTGCCTGGACGAGGAAGGCGATGACTCAGATGGGGTGAGTGACATCTGGGGCACGGGTGGGGTCTCCCCTCAATCCCTGGCACGCGGAGTTCAGGGCCAAGGTCTATGACAGGAAAAGTCCCAAAATATACCACTTGGGGCACTGGGAAGCTGCGATACCATTTCTGTGCTCTCCTGTAGCACCTCAGAGCCCTTCCTTGCCCTGAACTTTCCCATAAAAACAAATACAAAGCATGATATAAACACCAGAAACCACCCTCCATGGCAGCTGGTGAGACAGAGGATGTGAGGCAGCTCAGCAAAGTGTGTGTGTGTGTCTGTGTCTGTGTGGTGTGTCTCTGTGTCTTGTGTGGTGTGTCTCTGTGGTGTGTCTGTCTTGTGTGTTGTGTGTGGATGTGTGTGTGTCTGTGTGGTGTGTCTGTCTTGTGTGTTGTGTGTGTTGTATGTGTGTCTCTGGTGTGTCTGTCTTGTGTGTCGTGTGTGTCTGTGGTGTGTCTCTGTGTGTAGTGTGTCTCTGTGTGTGGTGTGTCTCTGTGTGTGTGGTGTGTCTCTGTGGTGTGTCTGTCTTGTGTGTTGTGTCTGCATGTCTGCATGGTGCGTGTGTCTCTGTGTCTGTGTCTGTGTGTTGTGTGGCGTGTGTGTTGGTGGGGTGTGTGGAATCACGTGGTACCCAAGGGGAGAATCCCCCAGCCCCAGGTGTGAGGAACAGCAGGGAATTCTCACTCAGGGGCCCAGATCACAACATGCCCCACGTGAACATGGACCCACAGCCTCGCTCCTGGGGGCGTGGGCAGGAGACGCCGTGGACGTGGACCCACAGCCTCGCTCCTGGGGGCGTGGGCAGGAGACACCGTGGCTGGACTGTGGGCAGTGTGTGAACATCCATGTTACTTTCATGCTTTTTCTTTATTTTGCCCAATAAGCCCGTTGTTTTTGCCTGGAACATGCCAGAAGACGCCAGATCGTTCACATGGCGGCCATGACAAGGCTGCGCCCTGGGACAGCTTGCTGGGTGCGGGGGGTCGCCGAGGCGCCGCACCCCTCCCCTGGCCTGTCTTGCCCTCAGGGGTCAGTAGCGGTCCCTGAGGATGTTTCTCCTCCGGGTTTTCCTGAAGTTTAAAACATCCAGCCGCCTTGGCGCGTGTTCGGCCCAGCCGGGCGTGCGCTGGGGAAACCTGTGCGGGGAGCATCTGCGGTGCGGCCTCCTCCAGGGCAGGGCTCTGGCCAGAAGAGAGGAGCGCGTTCCCCCTCCCGCCTCCGCATGTCTGACCACCGGCCGAGGCAGGTTCAGAAGCGTCACTGTCCTCGACCCGATTGGACACGACTTACTGAAGCTCAGATGGTGCCTGGGCAGGGAAGGCCAGCGTGCCCACCCCAGCGGCCCCCCGGAGAGCACCAGAGAGGGCTGGACGAGGCGAGAGGGGGCCTGGAGGAGGCGAGAGCAGCGTCCTTTGCTTCCCAGGCCTGCCGGGCTCGGGGCCTGGCCTGGCTGCCATCTCTCCAGCCTTTCCCTTTTCAAACTCCTCAGGCATCCGGAGACTCTGGCAGCGGGCTCGGGGACGCCCGGGAGCTTCTCAGGGAGGAGACGGTGAGTAGCCGGACGGGGCCCAGCCCACGCTGCAGGGTCCCGGGAGAGCCCCTCCCAGCAGTGGGGTGACACATGTGCACACGCAGGTGTGGCTCCAAGAGCTCCCTCTATGCCACGAAGACATATTCCTGGCTGGGGACAGGGATGCTGGGCTGGGCAGACGCTCGGAGCCTGGGCACAGGCCCCGCTCCGGCCCTGCCTGGCCGCCGCGTGTCTCTGGTGAGAGGATATTCCTTTAAAACGAGGTCCTGCCCTGCACACTCCTTGGTCTTCGAGGCAACCTTGGCCTTCCCTTCGCCCCATCCCTCCGTTAGCTCGTGCGTGGCCATCAGGGAATGAACGCGTGTGTGAGCCTGACGACCAGGAGGAGAAGGCGGCGCAGGGAGCGCGCGGAAGGCTTTCCCCAGCTCGGGCCACCTGAGAAAACACAGGAGGGGCGGGGAGTGGGGAGGCCCCAGCCGCGGGACTGAGGCGCGGTGCTGTCCGTGAGAGACGGGTGCGGGAACGTGTTCCCTGCGGGGACCCTCTGCAGATTCACATCAGCTTCCCAGCATGGCCTGTCGGGCGCCGGGAGGCCTCTGTGGTGACGGCAGGCGCGGTCCTGGGTCCTGGGGAGCCGGGGAGCCCACAGGCGGCCACACCCCTGCGGCCCACGGAAGGAAGCCCCTCGCGCACGGCCCTGGAGCACCCTCCTGTTTCAGAGGATTTTTCTTTATCTTTCTTGCGATCTTAAGTATTTCATTTCACAAACCAAGCAAGTCTCCACCGGGCATCTGCCGGCCGAATAACAGGCCACCTCCCCTCTCGTCCTCCAGGGCGCGGCCCTAAAACCCAGGCTCCCCGCGCCACCCCCCGTCACCACGCCACCCTTGGCTGGAGGCAGCAGCACGGAAGATTCCAGAAGTGAAGAAGTCGAGGAGCAGACCACGGTGGCTTCGTTAGGAGGTAAGCTCTTTTCTGGATGTGGTGTGTGTGTGGTGTGGGGTGTGTGTGGTGTGTAACGTGTGTTTGTGTGATGGTGAGGTATGTGTGTGATGTATGGTGTGTGTAGTGTGTGGTGTATATGGTACATGTGTGTGTGATATGGCACGTGTTTGTGTGAAATATATGGCAGGTGTTTGATGTGTGGTGTGTGATGTGCATGTTTGTGACATGTGTGATGTTTATGTGATGTGTATGTAGTGTGTATGGTGCATGCATGTGGGCATGTGTGTGTGCAGTGTGTGGTGTGTGTATTGTGTGTGGTGTGGTGTGTGTGTTGCGTGTAGTGTACGTGTGTGGTGTGCAGTGCATGTTGTGTTGTATGTGATGTGTAGTGTGCGTATTGTGTGTATGTGTGTGATGTGCATGTGTAATGTACATGTGTGTGATGTGTATTATGTGTTTTGTGTGTGTGTGTGTGTGTGTGTGTGTGTGGCAGGTGGGGAGATGCCGAGGCCCGGATGGTGGCTCTGGGTACAGGCTCTGGGTGTTCACTGTGCTTCTCTTGCAGGATTTCTGTTGGTTTTCATTTTTATTTTAAGTAAAAGTTAAGAGGGAAAAAGGAAAAGGGACAAAGCATGCTGGGTGATAAGAAGGCATTCTGGGGGGCCAGGGTCTCTTGTAACAAATTCAGGAAGCATCTCCCAGACTTCAGCTGTCATTGGCTTAGATGGCCACACCGGCCTCACTGTTGATTTTAAATTCTGTCTCCCTGTTGCCTTTGCCTGGGAGCTGGAGCTCAGGGGAGTGCGGCCTGAGGCTGGGGATCTGACAGTGTCCAGCCGGGCTCCAGGACTGAAAGCGTTTGGGCTGCCGGGGCCGTCTGGGGTGCCGAGAGCAGAGCTGGGGCCACCCGGGGGGCGTGACCGTGGCCACCTCTGCTTCTCTTCCCAGCTCAGACACTTCCTGGCTCAGATTCTGTCTCCACGTGGGACGGGAGTGTCCGGACCCCTGGGGGCCGCGTGAAAGAGGTAAGGCCACCTCCCTGTGCTCCTGAACCATTCTGAACCAGAGCACCTGTGGCCTTTTGGGCCACTCACTGGTGAGCCCTGATGAAGCCCCTCTGTGCCCGTGCCTCCTTTGTGCCCAGCACTCGGTGCCAGCATGCGTCCACCCTGCGTGTCCACTGTGGGAAGCAGCCCAGCCTGGGACTCTGGAGGGCGCAGCGGGACACGTGGGCAGGGTGTGTGGGGCCCCACCCCAGCCCGAGCCCTGTGTTCTGTTTATTCCCAGGGCGGCCTGAAGGGGCAGAAAGGGGAGCCAGGTGTTCCGGGCCCACCTGGCCGGGCAGGCCCCCCAGGATCCCCATGCCTACCTGGTCCCCCGGGTCTCCCGTGCCCAGTGAGTCCCCTGGGTCCTGCAGGCCCAGCGTTGCAAACTGTCCCCGGACCACAAGGACCCCCAGGGCCTCCGGGGAGGGACGGCACCCCTGGAAGGGACGGCGAGCCGGTGAGTCCTCACGTCCCCCCGAGTCCGGCCCGGTCTGGAGGGTGGGGGCTTGGGTAGGAGGGGGAGAGGCTGCGGCCGACATGGGAGTGAGCTGAGCTGGGATCGGGGCAGGTCAGCAGCCTCCTTAGGCCCACCGTTGCTCGGGGTTGGTGCTGGAAGGTGGTCAGACGTGGGAGGCGGAGCTGCTCAGACACAGCCCTTGTGGGTGTGAGGAGGCTCCTGGCGCGGGTGCGAGGACATCGGGGGAAGGCGTCTGCCGCCTCGTGGGGACTTGGAGCGTGGGGTGCATTTCCATGTAGACACTGTAGGTGGCGCCGGAGGAGTCATTTCCCATCACTAATGGCTTCTCTTGCACACCCAGGGCGACCCCGGTGAAGACGGAAAGCCGGTGAGTCTGCTTTTCTTTCTGACCCCTGTGTTATCTGTGATGTTTGCTTAGACCCCAGGGCTTTGTTGCCAGTGACACTCTTTTTAAACGCGACCCAGTGAGGAGACTGTACAGCAAAACCATTTTGAAAGTGGAATTTTGTAAAGAAAAGATGAGTGTAACTGTTGATGGGAAATAGCAGTTATGCATTTGTGTTGAGACATTTGGGCCACAACTACCATGAAGAAGGAAAGGAAGTGAGAAAAGGCAGAGCTTCCAAACCCTTAGAGGGAAGACGCACAGCAAAGAAAAAGGAAGTCGGGCGGGGCAGGGGGTGGTGCAAGTCGGCGGGGGAGGGAAGCACGGGGCGACCTGAGACTCTGTGAAGTCCGAGCTTCGTCGCAAAACACGCAGTTCAGTCTTTAAAAATCAGCAAACACCGTTTCCAAGCACAGTAATGACGTGATCGACTGCGAATAAAGACCTGGGAACAGCCTGCCCAGCAAATGGTAACACTCGGCAGAAAGTGGGGCCGTCACGAACGCTGGACAGGAGGGTTCAAGTTAAAAACAGTCTAGAAGGTCTGAAAGGACAGGGAGGGCATCTCATGGTGCCCACCGAACGGTCATTACCGACCGCCTGGCACCCCACAGCCAAGCTGCCTGCGATGAGGACCACGGCAGACAAAGGACAGTCGGCTGGGGGGCGGCACGGGGCCCACCCACTGCAACAGGGTACACGCACGCGTGTGAGTGTGGGGTGATGATCCACGGGGCCCACCCACAGGGCACACACACGTGTGTATGTATGTGCATGTGTTTGAGTGTGTGAATGTGTGACTGCGCGTGTGTGTGGGGGGGTGAGGATCCACACGTACACATACCACACATGCACACACAGCACATATCACACACCACACATTACACACCACACGTGGACACATGCACACACATTACACACATGTGTGCACACACCACACATTACACCACACGTGGATACACTTGCATACACACACTACACACACGTGTGTGCACACACACCACAGGTGGACGCATGCACACATGCTACACGCACGTGCACACATCACACGTGGACACATGCACACACACCACACATTACACATACCACACGTGGATACACACATACACATACCACGTGTGCACACATGTGCACACCATGGATTATGCACACCATACATGCACACTCACACATCACACATACATATCACACATGTACACACCACACTCCTCACACACACACCATGCATACCACACACACACACACATGTATGTAACACCCAAGCACCAGCTGTTGTGGAGGCCTTCGGGGAACCTGCTGTGACCTCCCGAGGGATGCTGCCCGCAGCTTCCCCCAGGCGTGGCTGGCGAAATGGGCTCAGGCGGGAGACAGTCTGCTGGGCCTGGCGCCCTCGTACTTTCCGGGCCCCAGAGACTCCCCTGAAGGGCTCAGCTCCCGTCCGTCCCCTGCTTGGGGGAGGAGCACTGAGAGTGCTGGGTGCGGCCCATGGTGGTGCCTTCCCTGACCGGGCCCCCGGATGTTGTGTTCCAGGGCGACACCGGGCCACAAGGCTTCCCCGGGACTCCAGGGGACGTAGGTCCCAAGGGCGACAAGGTGAGTCTCCGTGGCTGGGTGGGGCCCCTTCCTGTGTTGGCCCTTGGCTCAAGGTGGGGGCTGTGTGCGTGCCCAGGGTATGATAGGCTTGTCTTGTGTTCCCAGGGAGACCCTGGGGTTGGAGAGAGAGGGCCCCCAGGACCCCAAGGGCCTCCAGGGCCCCCAGGACCCTCCTTCAGACACGACAAGCTGGTAAGTCCCGCCCTTGGCTTCCTGCGACCCGGGGTCTGCCCTCCTCAAAAGCAGGCACTGCCTCTGGCCCAGAAGTATCAGCTCCACCCTCAGGGGCTTGCGTGGGGTCTTGGCTGAGCTGAGGGGTCACAGGTGTGGTGGGAGCCCCCATCCACCTGCCTTCAGGCTTCTCTGGGGGCAGCAGAGGGGCCGTGGTTTCTCAGCTCCTTGTAGAAACAGCTCGATATGCAGCTTGCGGGGCAGGGGCCAGGAGTAGGCCAGGCGGGGGGCCGAGCTCAGGGCAACGTGTCTCTCCGGCTCTTTTCCTCAGACCTTCATTGACATGGAGGGATCTGGCTTCGGGGGCGATCTGGAGGCCCTGCGGGTGAGTGGCCCTTAAACTGCAGCGCTGCCCGATGTCTGTGCCCATGAGGAACAGGCCATGGACCCCCAAGATTCAGCTGGGGTCCTGTGGGGGGTGGGGATGAGGCCCGTTCTGGGGGTGGTGGTCATCCCTGGTGGGTGCCACATGGGCTGTGACTATCTGTGTTCGCCCACGTCCAGGGTCCTCGAGGCTTCCCTGGACCTCCCGGACCCCCCGGTGTCCCAGGCCTGCCCGGCGAGCCAGGCCGCTTTGGGGTGAACAGCTCCGACGTCCCAGGACCCGCCGGCCTTCCTGGTGTGCCTGGGCGCGAGGGTCCCCCCGGGTTTCCTGGCCTCCCGGTAAGTCCTGCCTCCACCGTCAGTGTCGGGAGCCCTGTCTGCTGGGAGTGAGGGGTGAACACCCCACATGGGAGCCCCTGCCCCGCCTCAGGCCTCCCCAGTCCCCGCCTCCTCACCTCATCTCCTCTAGGAGCTGGCGGGCAGTTGCTGACTCGGGGCCACCCTGGGGTGTGCGGAAGCACCTGAGTGGCCACCCCATGGTTCTAGGGGTGCTGACCAGTGGGGGTGACCGCAAGCAAGGCCTCCGACCTCTCTGGCCCTGTGGGTCCACGGACTGCACAGAGAGCGTCTCCATGAGCAATTCCCATGGGTGGGTGTGGGAGGGCCGAGGTCAGCATTGCTGGAGGGCCAGGGGAGGGAGGAGCCTGCTTGGCCAACGCGGCTCGTAGGGTCTCAGGTCCCCACGGCAGGCTCCCCACCAGCTCTGCCACACATGACGGGCAGCAGGTCATGACTGGCAGCAGGTGCCTGCCCCACCAGCTGTGCCACACATGATGGGCAGCAGGTCATGACTGGCAGCAGGTGCAGACGTGGCTGCTGTAATTGGGTCATGCTGCACTGGCATCCCGTGGCCTGGGGTCACTCGGTAGCATGCCATGACGTGCAGGGCAGGGAGTGTGGGGTTAGGTCACCCATGACATGCCCCTGCCTCCGTAACAGTCCCTACCTGAGCCAGCCAACCCTACCGATGGGCATTCACCGTCACCATCGGCTCTGAGGCCTCTCTGGGTGCCGCATGGCAAGTGCTCCCCAGAATCCATTCTGAGGGGAATTTGGGCTTAAAGAACATGCCTAATCCATATTCACGCATGTGGCCAGACTGCCTCTCAGAGGGAGCAGCGGCTACCCCAGCCCTGGTGTGCAAGCATCTTCCCGCCGTGGTGCTGTCGGCTCTGCCATCTCATCCTGCCAATGTGGCCGCGAAACTGCGGGCTACGCAGGCTGTGGGGTCTCCCGTGAGCCCTGGGACTCTGGCCCTGTGTCTGGGGAACGTTCTGTGTCCTGCCTTCTGGAAACCTGCGGAAGCCCAGATAACCTGTTAACCCAGAAATCGTTTTAGTGGCCGAATGCCATCAAGACCCACTATGCTCTGCTCTCCCCCAGGGACCCCCAGGCCCTCCGGGAAGAGAGGGGCCCCCAGGAAGGACTGGGCAGAAAGGCAGCCTGGTAAGTCTTCCCTCGAGTCCAGGGTGAGTGGGAACCAGCACCACACCATGTGGCCCGGGTCCGGGGGTGCCTGGTGACGCCCGTGAAGGGGAAATGCCAGGAATAGCCCCCCATCACAGCCCCACAGCCTGGGGCCTCGCGCTCTGGAGGTCACCCTGACCTGGGCGGCTGGGGCTTGGGTAGAAATTCATAACCCTGTGATGATGAGTGGACTCACGGGTTTTAAGAACATGGGCACCCTGCGAGATCTGAGATCTTACTCCAAGCTTCCACGTTGGTTACGGGGCAGTGGCCATGAGCCTCTGTCGGACTGACGCAAGGAGCCGGGGCCCCAGGCGTTTGTGGGTGGACCTGGCGGGAGTCGCCTGCGTCTGGCCCCCTGGGGAGCGGTCTCCAGCATGACCTCAGATGAGAGCTGCACTGCTTTGGACTGAGCAGGGGACGCGGGCTGTAAATGCCCCTCACTGCTCTAAGCCTGTGGCTGAGCTGAAGGGCCCTTCTTGGGGAGGCATCCAGGCCCCAGGCCCCACGTGTAGCCAGGTCCAGCATTGGGACCAGGCTTGGCGTCCCTTGTGGCTTCCCTTTCAGGACCCCAACCACACCAGAAAGGGGGGATGACAGCGGCAACAGCCTCAGAAACTATTAAACCGGCACAGGCAGCAAAGCAGGGACCCGGGTCGGGGCACAGTTCCTGGCAGGGCGATGTGCCTTCCTCTGTCCACTGTGCTGCAAGTCTGATTTTGTCATAATCCTGCTCTTTTCCGTACAGGGTGAAGCAGGCGCCCCAGGACATAAGGTACAAGCAGAATCCCTGGCACATCAGTCCCCTGCCCCTGGTGCCCACTCAGTGCTCGGACCCCCAAAGAGGGTGGCAGCCCCACGGTCGAGAGAGTGAGCTCTCTTGGGGCTGGCCTTGACCCCCACTCCTGCCATCTGTCCATCCGTCCTGCCGGAATCGCGGGCAGCAGCCTCTGTCACTCTGGCGAGGTGGCTTCGGCCCTTGTCACTTTTGTGATGTGGCTTCCGCCGAGCTCTGGTCTGCCGGTGAACTGAGAGTAGACGCGCCCTGGAAGCTGAGCTCATCTGGAAACAAGCTCCGTGTGGCAAGCGCGATAAAGCAGCTCCAGGAGCTTTGGGAGGAGGGGCTGGGCCACAGCAGGTGGAGAGGCTGCCCGTGGCCTGGGGAGGGCCCTGAGCTGGGCCCCCCAACATCCCCCCATAGGGGAGCCCCATCCACCCGTCCCGCAGGCTCATGAGCATCTGGGGGCACTCGGAAGGAGCGCTGAAGGCAGCCCGGGTGTCCTTGGCGGCCCTGGCCTGGCCCAGAGTCTGCTCAGACCCTCTGGACTCGGGGCAGCTGCTCTCCATGGACCCAGCCTTCCTTCGGGCAGCCTGAGGTCTGGGCCACAGCCTGCTTGACCAGACAATTTATCTGACACCCCCCCAACGACCCACTTCCTCCTTCTGTTCTGCGGAAATTGAGCTGGAGGAGGAGCTAGAACCCTGCAGAGGAGGGGCTGGGAGCCGGGTCTGGGCCTCCAGTCGGCATCTGTGCCGACCCCACCACAGACGCCCCCGGAGGTGCCCTCGAGGATCCAGGCTTCCGTGGGCCGCCCACTCGAATCATGTCCAAAACGTCAGGAGCTCCTCACCTTGGCTGGACGGGGTTGGCACTAACGGGGAACTTTCCCCAGAACATGGCCAAGCTCCAGGATGGGGGTGATGAGGGAAGGAAGGCCAGTGGGGAGAGGAGTGAGGAAGAGGACAGCTGCGAGTCAGGTGGTGAGAGCACTTGGAGAGGCTGAGAGGACATGGGCTGGGAGTGAATGCATGTGCACATACACACACACACCTCTCCAGCATATGTACACATGCACACACACACCTCTCCAGCATATGTACACATGCACACACACCTCTCCAGCATATGTACACATGCACACACACACCTCTCCAGCATATGTACACATGCACACACACCTCTCCAGCATATGTACACATGCACACACACACCTCTCCAGCATATGTACACACACACACACTTCTCCAGCATATGTACACACACACACCTCTCCAGCATATGTGCACACGCACACACACCTCTCCAGCGTATGTACACACACACCTCTCCAGCATATGTACACGCGCACACACCTCTCCAGCATATGTGCACACACACATAGGCACACACATCTCCAGCATATGTGCACACACACCTCTCCAGCATATGTGCACACACACACATAGGCACACACATCTCCAGCATATGTGCACACACACACCTCCAGCATACATGCACACACATGCACACACACATCTCCAGCATATGTGCGCACACACATACACGCACACACACATCTCCAGCATGTGTGTACACACACACACACCTCTCCAGCATATGTGAGCACACACACACCTCTCCAGCATGTGTGCACACACATGCACGCCTCTCCAGCATATGTGCACACACACACATGCACCTCTCCAGCATATGTGCACATACACATAGCCAGCACATGTGCACACAGCTCTCATGTATGTGCACGTGTATCTCTAGCATACATGCACACATGTATCTGGTGTATATGTGCAACACATGTATCTGGGGCATGTGCACACGCATCTCTTATGTGCACATACACACACATGTATCTAGGTATGTGCCCACGTTTTTCTAGCACACATGCACACACATCTCTCTAGCATATGTACACACACATGTATTTGTAGTGTGTGTGCACATCTGTGTCTCTAGTATGTGTGCATACACGTACACATGTAGGCTTTGAGTTAAGCAGGGGAGGAATATTTTGATCAACTTTAAAATCAGCAAAATTAGATATGCATGTATGAAAATAATGAAAGTTTTAAAAAAACAAAAATGTCAAGTAACATGAATGAGAATTCTAGAACCCTACAACCTAATTGTAAACCAAATAGAAAATGAAGAAAAAAGGGATGAAATTAGAAAGAGGTTTTCAACAAACCTTTTTTTGGAGACAGAGTCTCCGCAGTGGTGCAGTCTCAGCTCACTGCAATCTCTGCCTCCCGGTTTCAAGTGAGTCTCCTGCCTCAGCCTCCCGAGTAACTGGGACTACAGGCATCTGCCACCACACCTGGCTAATTTTTTTTTTTTTTTTTTTTTTTTTTTTTTTAGTAGAGGCAGGGTTTCGTCATGATGGCCAGGCTGGTCTCGAACTCCTGCCCTCAGGTGATCCACCTGCCTCGGCCTCCCAAAGTGCTGGGATTACAGGCGTGAGCCACCACACTCGGCCTAAACAAACTTTTTTATAGGCACTTTTTAAAGATCAAAAATTAGATGAGGCTGGACACGATGGCTCACACCTGTAATCCCAGCACTTTGGGAGGCTGAGGTGGGAGGATTATTTGAGTCCAGGAGTTCAAGGCTATAGTAAGCTACAATCATGCCACTGTGCTCTAGCCTGGGCAACAGAGCGAGACCCTGTGTCCAAAAAGAAAAAAAAATTAGATTTTTAAAGACGATAAAAGGATGCCAGGCACTAAGACAGATTAAAGCCAAGAAAGTAAAATCTAAGATTCTCATGAAGTTAGCCCTCAAGTTAAGTGGGTGGTACATGGTGCCCACCTGTTAAGACCCAGCGTAGCTGTTGGAGGGTGGCTGCAGTGGAGACCCAGACCTAGAAGGGAGGAGACAGGAGGCAGTCGAGGATCACCTTGGCGGGTGGAGGGCGGGGAAAGCTCTGGCTTGGAGGCCCAGCCCCTGTGGGGGACATGGGAAGCAGGAAGGACCCTTCCCCACAGAGGGGGTTTCCTTCCTCCAGCTGGGCCTGTGACCATATCAAGGCAGCGGGTCACATTCCTGCCCCATTTGTGGACAGTGCTGGGCTCACACTATCTCATTCCGCTCTGTCCCGAGCCTGGGAAGGAACCCTGGGCCTCTCCGTCTACAGCCACGGAAACCGAGGCTCAGGGAGCTTGTGGCTGCGAGGAGAGGGGTGGTTCAGCTGGGCCACGTCACAGCGGGACCCCTGCCTCAGGGCCTCCCTCCCTCACGCCCCCCACACCGGGCTCTCACCTCACACTCCAGGTGGCTGGGGCCTTGGGTCACCGATGGCTCCAGCACATGCCTCCGGGCTCGCCTGCTTCTCACGGCTTTCGGACTAATAGAGTCACCGCAATGCCTGTGTCTACCCTAGCCCCAGTGGTCCCAGGGTCCTGAGCCTCCTCTCCTCTCTCCTCTCTTCTCCCCTTGCCTGCCGGGGAGCCAGGGCTGGTCCCAGGGTCCTGAGCCTCCTCTCCTCTCTCCTCTCTTCTCCCCTCGCCTGCCGGGGAGCCAGGGCTGGTCCCAGGGTCCTGAGCCTCCTCTCCTCTCTCCTCTCTTCTCCCCTCGCCTGCCCGGGAGCCAGGGCTGGTCCCAGGGTCCTGAGCCTCCTCTCCTCTCTCCTCTCTTTTCCCCTCGCCTGCCCGGGAGCCAGGGCTGGTCCCAGGGTCCTGAGCCTCCTCTCCTCTCTCCTCTCTTCTCCCCTTGCCTGCCCGGGAGCCAGGGCTGGAGGTAACGAGGGTGCCCTGTGCACCTCCCGCTGTGCATGTGGGCCTCCCCCTGTGCATGTGGGCCCAACCCCGACCAAGTTCGGGCTCCGTGGCTCTCTCCTCAGTTGTGTTTCTGTGTGGCTGAAATCGTGTCGTAAAGTTAGAAGAAAGGCTGCTGTGGGGCCTGCGTTGCTTGGCAGAATGTTCCTTACCTTTTGATTTGCAGGGTTTAGAAAGCATCATAAGAAAACGTGTCTACGCTGGGGTTGCAGGGCCAGCGGGGGCTGGGCTGGGTCCTGACACGCTCTCCTCACCCCACGCAGGGGAGCAAGGGAGCCCCCGGTCCTGCTGGTGCTCGTGGGGAGAGCGGCCTGGCAGGAGCCCCCGGACCTGCTGGACCACCAGGCCCCCCTGGGCCCCCTGGGCCCCCAGGACCAGGACTCCCCGCTGGATTTGTGAGTACCGCCTACACCTGACCCCCTGGAGAGCCGGGGGCTGCCGTTGCCCCAGCCCTACTACCCCTGGCATCTCACTCACAGAGCAGCACGTCCTGGGCGGTGGCCTTGCTGGCACTGCCTCATCCTGGGATTCCATATTCCGCATGGTGGGGCTCGAGTCTCTCGCCCGTCGCCCGTGCCCCACGGTGCTGATGGGGATCTTGGCCCAGCCATGCCCCAGCACCCGTGCCCTGACCAAGAGCGAATGAGCTGACCCGAGACGGGCTGCCCCGGGGGGGCTCCACCCAGGCCCTGCCACCAGGTAGACAGTCCCCATCTGAGAACGGCGGCTCCCCAGGCCACCGTGGCCCCAAAGCATGTCCCACCCTCCTCTCGGGCAGTGCCACCCCAGGGAGGGGTCCTTCCCTAAGAAGGGACACAGGCCCCTACGTGTCTCGTGTGTCTCTTCCAGGATGACATGGAAGGCTCCGGGGGGCCCTTCTGGTCAACAGCCCGAAGCGCTGATGGGCCACAGGTAGTGTTGTGAGCTGGGCGTGGCCGGCTCTGAGGGGTAAGGGGGTGTTGCCTGGGGCAGGAGAGTGTCCCTGAGAGCCACCGGCCTTGCATGGGATCGGAAGCCGCCCTGCAGAGCCGTGAGGACCACGTGTGGCGGGCGCTGTGCCCCGCGGGCCACCCTTGTTCTTCGGAGATGCCCCTTCATTGAACTAAAGTCACGGGGTGAGGGCCTGGTCTGCAAAGTGGGAGACACTGTGAGTGGTCAAGACAAAGGAACACGGGGCCGCATGCCCCCTGAAAGGCCTTTCTGGGGAAATTCAAGTCATCACATTCTTTTTGTGGCCCCAATTTTTGGTAGTAACAAATGTTTGGCCTGAGTAGAATCTGAAATTCCTATGAAATCTCCACTTTCTTCTACTGTTAACATGTATACTGCTCAGGGTTAGAGCCAGCAAGGAGTGACCAAAATCCCAAAACAACTGTGCTCAGACAGCTCAGACGTGCCAGGGGCAGACCCAGGGGCCACAAGCTCCTTCCTCCCCTGCCCCCACTGTCCCCTCCACACCACCAGCGCTCTCGTGGCGCCAGCATGGAGGAGCCCCCGGGGCCACAGCCCTGCCCAAGAGACACGTGGGGTGGCTGAAGCCACAGCGTCCAGCTTCATGCTCAGAGACTCAGCCTGTTGAGAGCACGGGTGGCTGGGACACATTTCTTACTTGGAGCAAAACGAATGAGAAATTTCAATTAGGCAGAAACTAATTGATTCCATAGTAAGTTAGAATGGCTTTACCATTTTAACTTAGTACATTTCCTTTTACACACGTATTTTGAAGTCTTGACTGTTACTAGCGGGCTTTTCTTGCGGCAGACGCATCTCACAGCAGGGCCTCCAGCTGCACTAACACTGTGTCTCCTCTGCCCTGACAGGGACCTCCCGGCCTGCCGGGACTTAAGGTCAGTGACGGATATGTCTGGGTTTCTGTGGTTGCTGGCTTGGCCCTGTCTCGACATCTTGGGGCTGGGGGAGACAGGGCCTTGCCTCGGGTTTTCTGATGGCAGGAGTAGGATGAATTCATCCTGGGAAGTTTGCAAAATACAGCAAAAAAGCCTGACAGGGAAATAATCGCACACCAACCCCAACCTAGACTTCCAGCGTTAAGGGGCCATTGTCCCGTTCTCTCTCCGAAGCCCAGGAATCAAGATTCCTGGGTTCACACACCTGAAGCATATTCTCAGACTTGGGCCGAAAAGAGGGGCATAGGGGAAGAACTCAGGGTCCCCACCTCAGCCTCAGGGACAGGTGGACTCCTGGGCTCAGGGACAGAGCCGTGGTGACCTTGTAGGACCCAGGAGCTTTGTCCTCTGCTCCCCCCATCCCTGGGGGACACTAGCCCCCAGCCTGGCCCCGAAGACCCCACCCCACCCAGGCCCCGAAGCTCCCAGGGCAGGTGCCTGAGCAGGGAGCCTGGAGCCTCCTCTCCTAGGCCCTGGGCAGCAGCCGCCTTTCACCCCGCTGCGTGCTCATCAAAGCGTCCTCTGCTGCGTGCGGGGCCAAGGGCGCACGGGGCCCACCCTGGGGCTGCACTCTCACGCGTCACCAGCCCCTGCCATGGCACCTGCTCCTTTGAGCTTTGCTTTCATTTGCAAGACATCGGGACACTCAAAAGGCTGACTTATGGGAAGGGCCGTGTGTTTGCTTTCTTAAATTGTTTGAATGAGGCCGTCTCAGCGGGGTTCCTCTTGCAGTCTGCAGTCCTAGTGATGGAATATGTCCCCAGGTTCCGCAGCCGTCCCGGCCGGGTGCCTTCAGCCAGCCTGGGCCCACGGGGTCCCTGCACAAGTTGCTCAGTGTCCCTGGGACCCCTCGGCTCTGGGCTGGGGGAGGGCGGTGAGATGCATCCTGGGTAACTCACCCTTCCCTTCACCCGGGGTGGACGCTGCCTGAGGACTGGGCTGGCCCCAGCAGGTGCTCACGGAGCCCCTTTTTTCACTTAGGGGGATCCTGGCGTGCCTGGGCTGCCGGGGGCGAAGGTAAGCGCTGTGCCCGGGTTCAGGGACGTGGCCAGGCAGAGGCAGGGAGGGCCCAGCCGGACACCTGCGGAGATCAGCTCGGGGCGGCCTTCCCCGCTCTTCCTGCCACTGCTTTGTTTCTTTATAATTGAAGACGTGCTGGTTTCAAAGGCAACCCCCAGGATACCCACCTGCAGGGCACCCAACCCCAGGGCACCCCCAGGTTTGACTGCGTCAGGAACATGGCCTTCCTCCCTCCCGGCTGTCTGGCTGTGCAGGCCCCGTCGGCCCCTGCCACCGGCCTCCCGCCTCTCCCTCCTTTTCCCCGACTTCCCCCTCCCCCACACTGCCTCCCCCACTTGCCCCTCCCCCACACCTCCTCCCCGACTTCCCCCTCCCCCACTTCCACCTGCCCCACACCTCCTCCCCGACTTCCCCCTCCCCCACTTCCCCCTGCCCCACACCTCCTCCCCCACACCCTCCCCCACTT
This sequence comes from Homo sapiens, assembly GCF_000001405.40. Taxonomy (NCBI): domain Eukaryota; kingdom Metazoa; phylum Chordata; class Mammalia; order Primates; family Hominidae; genus Homo; species Homo sapiens. The sequence continues at coordinate 107,226 of NW_025791815.1, forward strand.
CCCCGTCCCCCACACCTCCTCCCCCACACCCTCCCCCACTTCCCCGTCCCCCACACCTCCTCCCCCACTCCCCCCGACTCCCCCCTCCCCCCGACTCCCCCCTCCCCCTGACTCCCCCCTCCCCCACTCCTCCATCCCTCCACAGCCCCTGCTCAGGCCCACAGGGGTGAGAGAGAGAAGTCCAGGCCATCGCCACGTCCACGGGTGCCCCGGACTCCTCGTGGGGGTCCCTGCATTCCTGGGCGTGTGGCCAATGCCCTGCGTCCTCCATGTGACCCTTTCAGGGAGAAGTTGGAGCAGATGGAGTCCCCGGGTTCCCCGGCCTCCCTGGCAGAGAGGGCATTGCTGGGCCCCAGGTGAGTTGCCTTGGTGGGCCCAGGGTGCAGGGGGGGCGTGGAGCCCTGAAGGGACTATGCTAAGATGAAAGCTGGCACGAGATGTGCCCTCCCGGGTCCCTGGGTCTCCATGTGCCCTCGTGGGTCCCTGGGCCTCCGTGTGCCCTCCCGGGTCTCTGGGCCTCCGTGTGCCCACTCCCGGGTCTCTGGGCCTCCGTGTGCCCTCCTGGGTCTCCGTGTGCCCTCTCAGGTCCCTGGGCCTCCGTGTGCCCTCCCGGGTCCCTGGGCCTTCGTGTGCCCTCCCAGGTCTCTGGGCCTCCGTGTGCCCACTCCCGGAGCGCCAGGAGTTAAGTATAAGTCTCCGTCAGGGCTCTTGGTGGCTGCCTCCCTCCCAGGCCCCAGCCGGTCGGGAAATAAAGAACCCCACATCTTCATCAGAGCCATCCCTCACGGGGGGCCAGGGGCTCCTGTTTCTGTTGGTGATGAACCATTTCCTTCCTGTCTCTCCAGGGGCCAAAGGGAGACAGAGGCAGCCGGGGAGAAAAGGTGAGTGTCCCTGGGGCGGGTGGATGGGGATGGGGGGCGCTGGGACATCCCAGAAGGTTTGGCCTCAGCTGCCCCAGGTCCGTGCCCCTGCTGCCCATGTGACCTCAGAGACTCAGGGCAAAGACCCTCAAGTTGACAGGGGTGGCTTTCAGGCTGGGGGCAGCGTGTGTGGCTCAACCGTCCCTGTTGGAGCCTGCCCTGCCTGGCAGGGGGCTCCAAGGCCACAGTCCACAGCCCCGGGCGCCTCCTCACCCACCGTGGGCTCTGGGCACCCCCTCCAGGGCTGGGTGGACTCTGGGGTCCTGGCCAGAGCGGTTGAGATGAAATGCCGGACGCGTGGCCTCCTCTTCCAGGGAGATCCAGGGAAGGACGGAGTCGGGCAGCCGGGCCTCCCTGGCCCCCCCGGACCCCCGGGACCTGTGGTCTACGTGTCGGAGCAGGACGTAAGGACGCTGCGTGGGTGGGCACCCAATCTGTCCAGACCCCCCACGGGGTGCAGAGATCCCTCCCCGAGCCCCCCCCACACCCCCACATCCCCCAGGTCAGGACAGGCCCTGACTGCCAGTCTACACTCCACCTCCTCGGTGGGGGCTGCAGACGCCCTCGGTCAGAGACGCCTGGGGAGCCCAGCTCCATGTGGTGTTGGAGACACCGAGGAGAGGGGAGGGCCTGCACAGGGGCCAGTGTTTTTACGTCAAAGGCTCCCATTGGGCTCACTCCCTGTGTCCTTGACACTGTGGCCCCAAAGCTGCATGTAGTCACCCAGCTGCCCCGTCAGAAGAAGCAGATGCACCCTTGGCCCCTCTGGTGAAGGTTGTGTTGGTTCCGGAACCTTCCTCCCCCACTGCGGCCCGTCCATCAGGCCTCTCAGCTGCACCCTCTGCGCCTGCCAGCAGTGCATCCCACTGGTCCCTGTGCCACCCTGGCCTCACAGAGGCAGACGCATCTCCGCCCAGCCACATGGAACACAGGGACCAAGCCCCACTCTGGGCAGGGAGCTGAGCCCTGGGCAGATGCAGGGCCCAGGGCAGCAGAGCTGGGTGTGGCCAGGGGTTCAGATCCCTGCAGAGTTCTCTGTGGCCACCAGTGGAAGGGGGGCTGCCCGGGGCAGAGCTGAGAGCAGGCACCGTCAGCTGTGTGACACTGGACAAGTTACCTAACCCTTGTGCTCCAGCTCCCCACCTAGGAGGTGGGACTCTAACAGTCTTGAGAGGAGGGGTGGAGTTGGGAACAGGCAGGAGAGGGCTTGCCCCAGCACGGCTTTGCTAGGAGCAGGCAGACAGGCATCGGGAGGCAGGGGCAGCCCGAGAGGCCACAGGGACCTCGGCGTGACGGTCAAGACATCAGAACATCAGAAAAGCCTCCCGTAGGCCGAGCCACCTCCGCCGGCAAGCAAGGGAGCGTCTAGCAGAGGCAGGAGCATTTTAAAACAAAATGGAAGTAAAAACCATGGCCCTTAGGGCGTCTGGAGTCTGCATCCAGCTGCTCTGAGCTGAGGGGCGTCTGTGCTGCAGGAGGGATGCCCCAGGCCCAGGAAGACTGGAAAGCAACATTTTCCTTGAATTTCCTGGTTTGGTGTTTTGTTGATCTGTAAGTCGCTCGAGTCCAGTTGAATTTTAAACGCGGCTCTTTGTTTCCGATTTTTCCTTTTGCTCGTGGACAGGGATCCGTCCTGAGCGTGCCGGGACCTGAGGTATGTGCCTGCCCAGCTTCTAAGAGACGGGCCTGCGGGGACCTGGGTACAAGGCTGGGTGGGGTCCGGGCAGGCGCGAGGGTGCGTGATGACCCCAGCTGACGCCGTCCCTCTTTCCCCAGGGCCGGCCGGGTTTCGCAGGCTTTCCCGTGAGTAACCTGGTGCCAGAGCTGCATGCTGCCCGGCTGGGGAGGGGTCTCCACCTGGTAGCACAGAGCAGCCCGGTCGAGCTGGGGTGGGCCTTGTCAGGCCCGAGGGATAGCGACAGTCACTGCCCCCAAGGAAATGATGGGAGTGGGATGTGGGCGAGAGCCGCTGGCAGGCCCTGTGCTGGGTGGGCACCCGTGAGGGTGAGGCAGCTCCTTGCACCTGCAGAGGCCTGCAGTGTCCAGAGTGAGGCTGGGGCCGGGAGGTGTCCTGGTGGGGGTCACCTGCGGAGGCCTGCAGTGTCCAGAGTGAGGCTGGGGCCGCGAGGGGCCCTGGTCGGGCTGTCGAGGCAGGCATATTGCGGGGGGCAGCTGTCGGGGGAGATGGAGCAGCCGTCGGGGATGGGGGAGATGCCAGCCGCTCGGGCCTCACGGCCTGGCCTCCATTCCAGGGACCTGCAGGACCCAAGGGCAACCTGGGCTCTAAGGGCGAACGAGGCTCCCCGGGACCCAAGGTAAGGGGCTCAGGTGCTGTCCCTCAACCCCCTTTGTGACCCAGGGGTGGCTCCAGCCTGCCCAGATGACCACTGTTGGGAGGGACCTGGGACCCCCCGGCTGCTGCTGTGACACGTGAGGGGTACATCCCTGCTCGGGCCGTCCCTGTGGTCACCTCCCGTGAAAGGACCCAGCCTGCGAGGCCCAGTCACAGCGGCCCTGCCTTCGGGGCTCTGGGTGAGGCTTTGTGGGGAAGGAGCTGGCCCTGACTCTGCTGGACCTCCTGCCATTCCAGGGTGAGAAGGGTGAACCGGGCAGCATCTTCAGCCCCGACGGCGGTGCCCTGGGCCCTGCCCAGAAAGGAGCCAAGGTGAGGGCCGGGCAGCCTCCTTCCGGCAGGCGTGGGGGCTCCTGGGGCTGTGGAGACAGCCTGGGGAGGGTCTTCCTGAGGGTCTGGCTCCTGATGCACGAGCCTCTCCCAAGCAGGGCTCTACCATCCAGGCCTGGCCCTGGTGGCCCCTCCTTTCTCGCACCCATGTCGGCGGTTCCGCCGGCCCCTCGTCCTCTCCCTGCCCCTCGTCCTCTCCCTACCCCTGAGCCCACCCTGCTGAGGGGAGGTTCTCAGTGGGCTGCAGCTCTGAGCTCGCGCCTCCCTGGGGCCTGGCCTGTGGGGTGCAGGAGCCCAGGCTGTACCAGCTCAGCCTCAGCAGGTTTCTGGCTGCCCCTCCAGCCTCTTCCTGGGGGCCCTGATGCTGTGGGCAGGGCCCGGAGTCAGTTCCTCAAGGGGCCTGTGCCTGCGTCCCCACCCCCAGCAGGCAGCCGCCCAGAAAAGCCCTCGGGGAGGGTCCTGGGGAGAAGCCTGGATCTTTGGAGTGTGGGCCACCGGCTCTCCCACTTTCAGAGGGAGCAGTGAGCCCTCCGGGGTGTTTGGGGTGGGCCTCAGACACAGGATCCCCAGGCCCAGTGAGAGCTCCACTATCCCACCCAGCTGTGCATTGGAGCTGGGGCCTGTGGCAACCAGGACACTGCGTGGCACATGCCCTCCACCCTCCACCCTCCACCCCTGCTTCAGGGTCCCGGGGCATGCATGCACGCACCAACCTGGACGCAAACCCCAAACCCGACCCTCCCCTCACCAGTGGCTCCTGTCCTCCCCAGGGCTGCCTGCGCCTTGGGGACGGCCCAGTGCACCCAAAGGGACCACAGCGGCCCTTAGGGAGGCTATCAGGTGGGGCACAAGCCGCCACCTAACCGTGCCTTCGCCACAGGGGCCCTCAGAGAGGCTGCCAGGTGGGGCACAAGCTGCCACCTAACCCTGTCTTCTTGTTTTTTTGCTCAGGGAGAGCCGGGCTTCCGAGGACCCCCGGTAAGTCGGTCCCTGGCTTTCTCTGCACTGAGCTCGGGCATGACGGCCCCCAAGGACACGGTCGCCCGCGGCTGCTGAGCTTGTGCTGTGCGGCCCAGGGCTCATCTCCCTAGTGCAGTTTTAAAGCGTGTGGGGCAGGTGTCGGCGTGAGGCTGCAGTGGGCTCCTCCGAGCTGATGGGTGGCCCAGGGTGCTGTGCTCTGCATGGCCCCTCCCCTTCCCCAGGACCCCCCAACTCGTGGTCAAGGGCCAGGGTCTGCCCCACTAAGCCTGGCCCCCTTCCTCTTGCAGGGTCCATACGGACGGCCGGGGTACAAGGGAGAGATTGGCTTTCCTGGACGGCCGGTGAGGACCTGGGGTCTCCAGTGGGGGCGGCAGATGGGGTCTGGCAGGTGGGGAGCAGCCCAGGCCCACGGGGGTGACATGCCCAGAGGGGAGTGGACGGCCGCCGCACCCACTGTCCTCCCCCAAGAACCGGCCCTGCCTGAGCGCAGCTCTTGTCCTGGATGTGGCTGGCAGTACCCCACGAGGGGCCAGTACCCAGGAGGAAGCCCTGGAGGCAGACAGGGCAGTGGGCCTGTGTGTGCTAGGCTCAGTCACCTCCTCCCAAAAGGGTCCTTGTGCAGGAAAGGGGTGAGAAGGGCCGGGGTAGCCTGAGAGCTGGGAACGTGTGAGGCTGAGCGTGGGCCGGCCGGGCCTGGCGTGGGGCTAACGGCAGGCACCCTGCGGGAAGGTGTCTGGTAATCATCAGTGCCCAGCAGTCCCCACCCCCTGTGCTCCGCCCCAGGGTCGCCCCGGGATGAACGGATTGAAAGGAGAGAAAGGGGAGCCGGGAGATGCCAGCCTTGGATTTGGCATGAGGGTGAGTGTCTCTCAAGGGGCGGACTGGGTGGCTGGGAGACCAGGACCTGGGAATGGCCTGGCCACAGCCTGGGGTCCTGCAGCTCCTCCCAGAGGCCACTTATAAGCAGCCCTGCCATGTGGCCACACAGCACTGGTCATGCCATACCCATGCACAGTCATACATGTCCACACACGCACACGTGTGCCCAAACATGCATGCACATATATGGCCGTACTCATACATGTGTGCACATATACACATGCATCTATGCACATACATGCCCATACACACGCGCACACATACACGCACACACACATCCACACGTGCTCATGTGTGTACACATGCCCATACACTCCACATAGGTGCACATATACACATGTATTCATGCATATACGAGCCTGTCCACGTGCACACCCATACAGGTATATACATACACTCATACATGTGCACGTATCCACATGTGTATCCACATACATGACTATGAGCCCTCCCTGGCCCATTCCATGATGGGCATACACACTGCACATGTATACTCATGCACACATACATATACACATGCATACACACCAATACACATATATGCACACATGTGCACCCATATACACACATACAACAGGCCCCTGTGGATTCTCAGCAGGGCATCCATGGGCCTGGGCCATGCCCTCCATGCCCTCTATGCCCTCCATGCCCTCCATGCCCTCCAAGCCCTCCATGCTGGGGGTTCTCCCGCTCAGCCCAAAGGTGTCCACTCTGCTGTCTTTTGAGCCAAGAGCTTTGTCTCCCTGATGTCAGCAGGGTGGGGCATTTTCAGTCACCTTTTTACCTGAGACGCAGACCCGGTGGCCTCTTCACTCCTCCCGAGGGACGTCTGTGCACGACTCCAGCGTGGGATGAGGTGGGGCCGGGGCCAGTTCCTGTCCTCAGGGAGCCGTGGCCCGAGTGACCCACTGCATTCTCGGTTTTGCCTGGTCAGAGGTCTGCCTGGTCAGGTTTCTGATTTTTCTGATTTTTCTGAACTGTCTCTGCTCCCAGCTGCTGCCTGACAGGCAGGCCATAAGCCTAACAGCTCTCTGCCCTCCCCACAGGGAATGCCCGGCCCCCCAGGACCTCCAGGGCCCCCAGGCCCTCCAGGGACTCCTGTTTACGACAGCAATGTAAGTCCCCAGGGCACCCACTGTCCTACAGCCACCCTTGGCTGTCACACAGAGCCCCACAGAGGGGCTGGGCCTTCTTCTCCCCTGGCCTCTGCGTCTGGGGGTCCTTCTAGGATGTGCCAGTCTGGTGGGCAGTGGATTAGCAGCTGAGTTCCCACGGAAGGTGAAGGCCTGGGAAAGGGAGGGCTCTCTGGGTGTGGAGCTGCTTCCAGCTGGCTCTGCTAAGGGCCTGAGCCCAGGGTTGCTAGGGGCACCCCCATTTTCCCAGGCTCAGCAAGGTGAAGTGACCAATGAGGGCCAAGTGGCGTCAGGCCGTGGCTCCTGCTCTCCGTACCCCTGTTCCCTCCCGTCTCTGACTGGGGGAGGCTGCTATGTGGCCTCATACAGGGGCTGGTGCTTCTGGGCTTGGGGACCCCTGAGTGGTGGTGGCCTCCATTTCAGAACATCGCCCTCAGCAGCCGCCTCTCCCCGTTCCTTGCAGGTGTTTGCTGAGTCCAGCCGCCCCGGGCCTCCAGGATTGCCAGGTGAGGGTCCTGGGCTCACAGCTGGGGACACAGGCTCTGAAGGGATGCTCCAGAGCCCCACCTTCCTTCCCGTGCCAGCAGCAGTGAGACTCCCCCAGTGGCCCAAGGCCAGTGCTACACGCCCAGCCCACGCCCCAGTTCCGATGACCTTGGCCCTTCCTGCGGGCCCTCCCAGCACAGCCGTCCAGGACCTGACCTTGGGGTGGCCCCCATTTGCTGTTCTCCGTTGAGATTTTGCTTCTCTGGCCAAAGCAGGGTGGAAGCAGCCCCGTCCCTCCTGTTGGTCAGCACGTGCCCTGCAGGTGTGGCCTGGCCCCCACATGGCCTGCTGACGGGGACCCAGGGCGCCCCTGCTCTCCAGCAGCTCCTACCCTGACTGTCCCCATGTCCATCTGATGCCCCCCCATCCAGGCCCCCAGGCACTAGGGCATTTCGGGCAGGAGGGGCACCACCCTGGAGTCCTCCCTGGCACATTCCTGATGGGCACTGGGTCTCTCTTCCTCCAGGGAATCAGGGCCCTCCAGGACCCAAGGGCGCCAAAGGAGAAGTGGGCCCCCCCGGACCACCAGGTGAGCAACTCTGGACATCCCAGGCAGGAGAGCCATGGCGTGGCCAGCACTGAAGTGTGGTCACACCTAGAGCCGCCACCACAAGCAGGTCCTGGACCCTCACTGGGTGGTGACCACCTCACCCTGCGGGAGGAAGGAAGCCCCTTCTGGGTTGATGGGGGCCTCATAGGACCTGGATTTGGGGGCGAGGGTGGCTGCAGGGCACAAGCCCAGCAAGATAGCCCCATCACCTCCTGAGGAGCAGATGGCTGCCCTTCCATGCTAGACCCAGGTGGGCACTGCGCAGAGACACAGCAGCTTCAGTGTCCTGAGATGCCCCCTCCCCTCCACGGGGCCGGGGGTCGGCACTGGAGGACCCTCTGTCGAGAAACTCTCCAGGGTTTCATGTGGGAAGGAGGCGTTGCCCGACAGGCCGTCTGGAGGGTGAGCCCAGCACCCCTGCTCCCCCAAAGGACAAGAATTCCCCCCTGAGCCCCACCTCCATTGAGGGTGGCAGGGCTGCTTGGATGTCCTGCCAAGACCACTGAGAACAGCTGGATAAAATGTGAGAAAACCACTGTTTGAGGATGTCTGGGGGCTGGCAGAGCAGAAGCCCAGAGAGCCAGGCTAGCCTCGGGCGCCTTTCACCACCAGGGTCCCCTCTCGCCGCCACGGTCCCCTCTCGCCGCCAGGGTCCCCTCTCACCGCCAGGGTTCCCTCTCGCCACCACGGTCCCCTCTCGCCGCCAGGGTCCCCTCTCGCCGCCAGGGTCCCCTCTCGCCGCCACGGTCCCCTCTCGCCGCCAGGGTCCCCTCTCGCCGCCACGGTCCCCGCTCGCCGCCAGGGTCCCCTCTCGCTGCCAGGGTCCTCTGCAGAGGAGGCCGCCATACCTGCTCTTGCTGGGGCTGCACTCTGGGGTGGGAAGGGACCAGGCAGGCAGAGGCCGAGTCTGGGCCGGGACATCCTTAAGGCCTGTGGAGGCAAAGGCAGGCAGAAAGCAAGCGGGAAGATGGAAGATGTGCCCATGCCAGCCTTGGATCTCTCAGCGTCACACACGACGCCCAGGAAGGAGTGAATGATGCACAGATGACCAGAAACCAGGAGAAGAGGCCAGTGACACACCAGACCAGGAGGCCCAGCTCATGGGGTCATCGGACCCACCTTGAACTCTGAAGGTCACACATTCAAAAGCCACAGGAAGTCTGGAGATGGCAGCAGAGAGCTGGGAAGCTCAGAGGTGTCAGGATGAACCTGGGGCTGAAGGCGGAACAGTTGGAGATTGAGACCTGTGTATAGGTTTTGGTCGACGTGGGATTGCTTGTCCCTGGGAGCCAGAACGAGGGCTCCGAGGGCTCTAGAGGGAACAGTGTTTGCAGGCGGAATGGCTGATGCTCTTCCAAAGCCAAGGAAGGCTCAGAGCATTCCCCTCATTCGAAGGATCAACAATTAGAGTGACGAGATTTCTCAACAAAACGGGAGAAGCCAGAAGACCATAAATGGTTTCCAAAATATCCAAGAAAGTCAATTGCCAGTGTAGACTCCGACAGCCAGTGGTACTCCCGTGGCCTTCAGAACGAGGATGACATGCAGGCCAGCCACTCCAGACCCGAGCTGTGTCGGCAGTGGAGGGTATTTCAGGGGGAAGACAAGGCCAAGGGAAAGGAGTGCAGAGATGGGGAGAGACAACGCTGGCAGGAACCGGCGTCCCAGCGACAGGGAGGTCAGAGGCTCCCTCGGGAACCAGCGTGGGCTGCCCCACATGGCATCCCAGGAACAGTGGGGTCAGAGGCTCCCGCGGGAACCCGTGTGGGCTGCCCCGCATGGCATCCCAGGAACAGTGGGGTCAGAGGCTCCCTCAGGAACCTGTGTGGGCTGCCCCGCATGGCATCCCAGGAACAGTGGGGTCAGAGGCTCCCTCGGGAACCCGCGTGGGCTGCCCCGCATGGCATCCCAGGAACAGTGGGGTCAGAGGCTCCCGCAGGAACCGGCACAGGCTGCACAGCATGGTGTCCCATCGTCAGTGCAATTAGAGGTTCCCGTGGTCTCAGCGCCCTGGGGAGTGGTGGTAGTTCTCACTATATTGGACGGTGAGGTTGGAGAGGAATGCAGAGCTAACACTGGTGGAGAGGCAGGAGGGCAGGCAGGACGGCACACACACAGGACGTTTAAAACACACAGAGTAGATCCAAAAGAAGGCAAAACATGAGAGAAAAAGGAATGCAGAACACGTGGGATGAATAGAAACTAGGGAATAAACAGTAGATTTAGGTCCCGATACATCTACAGGTGCTGTAAGTATGACGAGGGTAGATACATCCATTGAAGGACAGACATTGTCAATGGGATATGGCTAAACCATGTGCCGCTTACAAGAGACGCTCCCCGAACGTGAGGGCTGGAGAGGTCGAGGCACCCAGAGGCTGGTGTGGGTTTGGGTGTGTGTGGAGTGTGTGTATGTGGGTGTGCTGAGTGTGTGCAGTGTGGGGGTGTGGGTGGAGTGTGGAGTGTGTGCATGTGGGTGTGTAGTGTGGGGGTGTATAGTGTGGGTGTGTGTGGAGTGTGTGTGGCTGGGTTGGGTGTATAGTGTGGAGGTGTGAGGGGGTGTGTGGAGTGTGCATATGTGGGTGTTGGGTGTGTAGTGGGGGTGTGTGGAGTGTATATGTGGGTGTGTAGTGGGGGTGTGAGGGGTGTGGAGTGTGCATATGTGGGTGTTGGGTGTGTAGTGTGTGAGGGGGTGGGGGTGTGTGGAGTGTGTGTATGTGGGTGTTGGGTGTGTGGTGTGGGGTGTGTGTGGAGTGTGGCTATGGGGGTGCTGGGTGTGTAGTGTGGGGGTGTGGTTTGGTGTGTTGCGTGTGTAGTGTGGGGGTGTGGTTTGGTGTGTGTTGGGTGTGTAGGGTGTGGTTTGGTGTGTGTTGGGTGTGTAGTGTGGGGGTGTGGTTTGGTGTGTTGGGTGTGTAGTGTGGGGGTGTGGTTTGGTGTGTGTGTGTTGGGTGTGTAGTGTGGGGGTGTGGTTTGGTGTGTGTTGGGTGTGTAGTGTGGGGGTGTGGTTTGGTGTGTGTGTGTTGGGTGTGTAGTGTGGGGGTGTGGTTTGGTGTGTTGGGTGTGTAGTGTGGGGGTGTGGTTTGGTGTGTGTGTGTTGGGTGTGTAGTGTGGGGGTGTGGTTTGGTGTGTGTTGGGTGTGTAGTGTGGGGGTGTGGTTTGGTGTGTTGGGTGTGTAGTGTGGGGGTGTGGTTTGGTGTGTGTGTGTTGGGTGTGTAGTGTGGGGGTGTGTTTTGGTGTGTGTGTGTTGGGTGTGTAGTGTGGGGGTGTGGTTTGGTGTGTGTGTGTTGGGTGTGTAGTGTGGGGGTGTGGTTTGGTGTGTGTTGGGTGTGGAGTGTGGGGGTGTGGTTTGGTGTGTGTGTGTTGGGTGTGTAGTGTGGGGGTGTGGTTTGGTGTGTGTTGGGTGTGGAGTGTGGGGGTGTGGTTTGGTGTGTGTGTGTGTGTGTGCAAAGTATATCCTGGAGTAAGAAACATGGTCAAAAATAAATGTTCATTGAGACAACGGAGCAAGTCTACCAGAGAAATTGAGTAATTCTACATTTCTATGCATCTAATGAGATAGCCTCAAGATATGACAAGTGAAAAATTGGCAAAGTGAAAAAGAAAAACACAAATCAATCATTATAGGGGGACTTTCAGCCCAGGGAGATCTGAACATCAGGTCTGACAGGCGTCACCTGCGAAGGTCTCCAGGCCACGTCCCCAGCATCGGGACCGGGGTCTGCCCCAGAGGGGCCCAGGCTGGGCTGAAAGCAGGCCTGGCTTCCAGGAACTGTGACCCCACGAGTGCAGTAGAAGCAAGTGGGAAGTGCCCACAGGGCAGTGGTCTTCCACGTGGCTCAGGAATCCAGGAGAAGCAGGTGGAAGTCAGAAACCCCTGGGAGCTTAGGTGCGTCCAGGGCATCCTCAGCCCTCACACTGCAGCCGCAGGGGCCTTGCCCTGCACAATCCCCGGTCTCCCAGGTGGTGGGGCCTCCACAGCCGGTCACCTCCCTCTGCAGAAGGACCCCCAGGGGCTCCACAGCCGGTCACCTCCCTCTGCAGAAGGACCCCCAGGGGCTCCACAGCCGGTCACCTCCCTCTGCAGAAGGACCCCCAGGGGCTCCACAGCCGGTCACCTCTCTCTGCAGAAGGACCCCCAGGGGCTCCACAGCCGGTCACCTCCCTCTGCAGAAGGACCCCCAGGGGCTTCAAAGCCGGTCACCTCCCTCTGCAGAAGGACCCCCAGGGGCTCCACAGCCGGTCACCTCCCTCTGCAGAAGGACCCTCAGGGGCCTCCGCAGCCGGTCACCTCCCTCTGCAGAAGGACCCTCAGGGGCTCCACAGCCGGTCACCTCCCTCTGCAGAAGGACCCTCAGGGGCCTCCGCAGCCGGTCACCTCCCTCTGCCGAAGGACCCCCAGGGGCTCCACAGCCGGTCACCTCCCTCTGCAGAAGGACCCGGAGCAGGGCCCAGCCCGAGAGGGAGCACGGGTCCTGACAGCAGCAGTGACCTCCAACCCCAGGGACGGCTCCTGTGGGATGGGGGGCCCTGGGGGTGTGGAGCCACGTGCTCCAAAGCTTCTGGGTTACAGGGCATGCCTCCAGGGGTGAGGTGGTCCCCACCCCGGTCACGGTTTCAGGGGAACAGTCACAGGAGAAGGTTTGCCCAGGGCCGTCTAAGGTCCCACCTGGAAGGAGAAGGGGTTTTGTCATCTCCGTTGACAAAATTACAGCTTTAAGTAGTACCTGTTTCTACACATCAGCCTAAGATGTTAAAGAACAAACAGCATTTAAAGAACAACAAACAGTTATTTGATGAAAATAGATGGGAAGAAGTATTAAACATCAAAAATGAGTGAAGAGAAATTGCGTATGTTTTATATATAAAAATAGCAAGGATCAAGAAAGTCCAAAAATCCAAAGTTAATTCTTTGCAAAGGCGAACAACATTCCTGCACCTCTGCCGGGACTGAGGAAAAGGAGAGAAGCAGCAACAAGCAGGGATTTCAGCAAAGGGCTCCTCCGTGGTCTGGAAGGAGCCACCTGGAACTGCCACAGCTTCACCCTTGGAGAGGGTGGAGGGACCCTCAAGTCAGGGCCAAGACACAGCTGCCTGCCCACCCTGGGAGGAGGCAGAGGAGAGATGGGAAGGGCAGGACGCTGGGAGGAAAGAAGCGCGTTGCTCTTTTCTCAGCACGTCTCCCACGTAAGCCCCACAAGTGGATCTGCAGGTGAACTCTCAGGATGAGTAAGTCAATGTACCGAAGTCACCAGATGGAAGGGCAGTCTAGAAAAACCACCACCGAGTCCTAAGCAATTAAAAATGAAGTTTTAAAAAGGCACCATTGTGAATAATGTCGCAATAAACATACGTGTGCATGTGTCTTTATAGCAGCATGATTTATAGTCCTTTGTGTATATACCCAGTAATGGGATGGCTGGGTCAAATGGTATTTCTAGTTCTAGATCCCTGAGGAATCGCCACACTGACTTCCACAATGGTTGAACTAGTTTACAGTCCCACCAACAGTGTAAAAGTGTTCCTATTTCTCTACATCCTCTCCGGCACCTGTTGTTTCCTTACTTTTTAACGATCGCCATTCTAACTGGTGTGAGATGGTATCTCATTGTGGTTTTGATTTGCATTTCTCTGATGGCCAGTGATGATGAGCATTTTTTCATGTGTTTTTTGGCTGCATAAATGTCTTCTTTTGAGAAGTGTCTGTTCATGTCCTTTGCCCACTTTTTGATGGGGTTGTTTGTGGCACATATACACCATGGAATACTACGCAGCCATAAAAAATGATGAGTTCATGTCCTTTGTAGGGACATGGATGAAATTGGAAATCATCATTCTCAGTAAACTATTGCAAGAACAAAAAACCAAACACCGCATATTCTCACTCATAGGTGGGAACTGAACAATGAGATCACATGGACACAGGAAGGGGAACATCACACTCTGGGGACTGTTGTGGGGTGGGGGGAGGGGGGAGGGATAGCATTGGGAGATATACCTAATGCTAGATGACGAGTTAGTGGGTGCAGCACACCAGCATGGCACATGTATACATATGTAACTAACCTGCACATCATGCACATGTACCCTAAAACTTAAAGTATAATAATAAATTTAAAAAATTTAAAAATAAAATAAAAATAAAAAGGCACCATTAACAAAAACATCAGAAAGTATCGGTTAACTAGGAAGAACCTAATTAAATACGCGATCTCTACCGCGAAATGGCTAGAAGGGCCTCAGGCAAACCCACCAGTGCTGGGGGCTGCAGAGGGAACCCGGCGCTGTCAGACACCACCTCAGCGAGACCCCGCCTGTCTCTCTCTTGCAGGGCAGTTTCCGTTTGACTTTCTTCAGTTGGAGGCTGAAATGAAGGTGGGTGACCTCCCTGTGGGGTTGGGGGCCCCCAAGGTCCTGTACATCCCGCTGGGTGGCTGCTCCCAATTTCTCGCCCCATCCGGCCCAAGCCCCCTTCCTGTTCAGCCCTGCGAGGGGCGCTGGCTCCAGAGGGTGTCGAGGGCGTCCCTCAGGATGTTCCTGTCCCCGGCTCAGTTTTTGGGGGACTCGGCTGATGCAGTGGGAGGTGGGGAGTCGAGCCCTATTCTATGCAGCCAGCAGCTCCCAGGCCTGGGCTCCGGAAGCTTCTGACTGCCCAGCCCTGGCTCGGGGGGATGGGAGGCCACCTGTGGCTTGTAGGGGTTCAGGGCTCCCGTGTAACAAGTGTTTCCGTCCACAGGGGGAGAAGGGAGACCGAGGTGATGCAGGACAGAAAGGCGAAAGGGGGGAGCCCGGGGGCGGCGGTTTCTTCGGCTCCAGCCTGCCCGGCCCCCCCGGCCCCCCAGGCCCACGTGGCTACCCTGGGATTCCAGTAAGTCCCAGCCTGTGCAGGCAGAGCCCATGTCCCAGGGGTCTGGGTGCAGGAGCCGAGGGCAGGTCCAGCCCGGCCTTCGACACCCGCGAAGGCCGGAGCTGCCCCTGCAAGCTCAGCAGCCCCGACATGTCCCTGTCCCCGTGTGGGGACGCAGCAGGCCACATGGGTGTGGGTGCACTGACCCCGGACACCCCCCGTCCCCCTGCAGCGTTCCATGGCCTGCCCTCCTGCTGGGGCCACGTGCATCCACCTCTGCTCCTGGGCCGGGTCAGGTCAGATCAGGGTTTAGGCCCATCAGTCCTGAAAGACTCCAGAGAGCCATGGGCCCCAGCTACTGCCTGGGGGCCCACACTGTTGTCAGGTCTCTGCTGGTCTCTCCCCCGGGATCGCACCCCCAGGGAAGAAGGGGTGATGGTGTGGGGGTTTCTCAGGCTATGGCGTGGGCAGGGAGGGGACCGGTGACTCAGAGGCTGCGCTCGCCAAGGGGGTCTTGGCAGCTGCAGCCCCACAAGCTTGCCCGCCCCCAGTCCAGGGCACGAGGTAACCAGGAAGCGTCTCTTGTCGCCGTCCGTAGGGTCCCAAGGGAGAGAGCATCCGGGGCCAGCCCGGCCCACCTGGACCTCAGGGACCCCCCGGCATCGGCTACGAGGGGCGCCAGGGCCCTCCCGGCCCCCCAGGCCCCCCAGGGCCCCCTTCATTTCCTGGCCCTCACAGGCAGAGTAAGTCAGTGGGGAGTGGGCCCCGGGCAGAGGCCGCCTCGTGTGGCTTCGTGTTCCCACCTTGGTTTCTCTCCTGCAGCTATCAGCGTTCCCGGCCCTCCGGGCCCCCCTGGGCCCCCTGGGCCCCCTGGAACCATGGGCGCCTCCTCAGGGGTAAGTGTCTGGGCAGCCGGCTGGGCACCTGCGTCCCGTGCCCTGGCTGGTTCTGCAGCCCCTGCCCCTCAGAGACACTCTCCCACGGACCCCACAGGGAGATATACAGGAGGCCAAGATGCGGTTTCCAGGGTGGAAGCGGGGCCAGGCCATGGGGGAATCAGGTGGACCCAGGAGGACGACCACCAGCCGGGAAGTGCCCAGGGCCTGTACATTGTCCACGGAGGCGCAGGAGCTGGCGGCAGGCAGGGGTCCCCATGGTGCTCATGGGGGCAGCCGCCTCAGTCCACACCTGTCCAAAGCCCTGCGGCCCCTGCCCAGCACCCTGAAACGGGCATTCCTTCCTTCCGCCCCTGCCCCCCGCCCTCCCCGCCAAGCCCCACACCTCTGCATTTGGTCCCAGCAGGTGAGGCTCTGGGCTACACGCCAGGCCATGCTGGGCCAGGTGCACGAGGTTCCCGAGGGCTGGCTCATCTTCGTGGCCGAGCAGGAGGAGCTCTACGTCCGCGTGCAGAACGGGTTCCGGAAGGTCCAGGTGAGCGCTCTGTGTGACGGGTTCTGGACCCGTGGAAGGGCCGAAGCCGCCTCCTGGGGCTTAAGGAAGGCGAGAGGCTCAGGCCCCGGACAGGGATGGGAGCAGGTGGCAGCCAGCGCTTCTTAAACTTTCAAACTTTTGGTAAAGTTTAGTAAAATACTTTTGTGAGCAGTTTTGGGTTTAAAGAAAAGTGAGCTCAAGCTTCTGAAAGTGGATGAACACATGGCGTGTGAGGGGCTCCTGGTGGGTCATGTCACAGTGAACGTTTACAAAGATAAATGTCACCTCACACACCCGATAATAAGACAAGGCGCCTGACGGGACGAGGCGGCAGGGGGGCTCAGGCCCTCCAGGGCCACGTGACGTCCACAGCACGGCCCCGGCTGGGGGGCAGGCTGTCCCGTGGCTCTGCACCCCGCGTTATAAACACCAAGGTGGGATGAAATGCATCCTCTCTGCTTAGCACGGGCCTTGCTCACCAGCCTGGCTCCTCAGACACACCTGGGATTGCCCCTTCCAGGACAGGCCAGCCCCTTTCCTGCTTTCCCAAAATGGTCTGGGTGGCAGGAGTGGCCGCTCTGATCCAGGTGGGTGCGGCCATGCTTGCAGGGCCCCGGGAAGGTTTACCTTCGTGTGGCAAAGGTGAGGACGGGTAGAAGCCCCATGCCGCCGAAACGGCCTGTGACATCCGTGGGAGCCTCCATGGCAGAACACTGCACACTGACACAGCCCTGACTCCTGGAGCCCTCCCACCTTCCAACACACCCACCTTCCTTCTAGAGCCCTCCCACCTTCCCTCTGGAACCCTCCCACCTTCCCTCTGGAGCCCTCCCACCTTCCCTCTAGCACTCCCTCCCTCTCGCCACCGGCCCCCTCCTAGGCCTGGCCAGCCCCTGCAGCACCCCAGACAGTGAATCCCACTCCAGTCCCTTCATCTGGCCAGGGAGAGGCTGCCAGTCTCATAGCAGATGCTGAGCTGGTGCCCACTGTGTGCCAGGTGTGCTTGTAGGCACCCGGATGCAGCCCCATCCTAACTTTCAGGGGCTTTGGTCCTGACAGGAGGAGGCAGGGGATGGCATCCTAGCAAACGCGTGCTGGGAGGGCTGGGTGCTGGGCAGGGAGGGCAACCTGCCGTGGACTGGGAGGGCTGGGTGCTGGGCAGGGAGGGCACCCTCCTGTGGGCTGGGAGGGCCGGGTGTTGGGGAGGGAGAGGCGGGTGCTGGGCAGGGAGGGCACCCTCCTGTGGGCTGGGAGGGCCGGGTGTTGGGGAGGGAGAGGTGGGTGCTGGGCAGGGAGGGCAACCTGCTGTGGACTGGGAGGGCCGGGTGCTGGGCAGGGAGGGCACCCTCCTGTGGGCTGGCAGGGCCGGGTGCTGGGCAGGGAGGGCACCCTGCTGTGGACTGGGAGGGCCGGGTGCTGGGCAGGGAGCGTACCCTGGCACAGGCTTGGAGGGGCAGGTGCTGGGCAGGGAGGGCACCCTCCTGTGGGCTGGGAGGGCCAGGTGCTGGGGCGGGAGAGTCGGGTGCTGGGCAGGGAGGGCACCCTGGCTCAGGCCCAGCCGCAGGTCCTGGGTGACCCTGCTGCTTTCTTCCAGCTGGAGGCCCGGACACCACTCCCACGAGGGACGGTAAGGAGCCTTTTTTCTGTTGAGACTGGTGGGTGGTCAGGACATGAGGGGGTATGTGCTGTCCCCTGTTTGAGGAACAACACGTGGTCCTTTGGAGTCCTGGAGCTGAACATGTGGCTCACCATCAGCCCCTGCTGCAGAAACTGGTGCAGGACACCCCACTACCTCTGTCTCAGCGCTGGCCCCCCAGTACCTCCGTCTCAGCTGCTGGCCTCACGAGGGAGCCCCTCTCATCCCTCAACTTTCCCAGTTGTGTCTGCCGCTCATTGCCCTCCTCAAGGTCAAAATCCTTGGGGCCAAAATCCACATCTTGTGTCTTTGCCTTCCCTCACCCAAAGTGCCAGACACAAGAATGGATATCTCTAAGAGTGGTGGGTGACTGGGTGGGTGAATCAATGGGGAGGTGGATGGATGGATGGGTGGATGGAGAGGTGGGTGAGTGGATACGTAGGTAGATGGGGAGGTGGATGGATGAGTAGATGGTGGACAGGTGGGTGAGTGGATGGATGGTGGTCAGGCGGGTGAGTGGACGGGTGGGTGGGTGGATGGAAAGGTGGGTGAGTGGATAGGTAGGTAGCTGGGGAGATGGATGGATGGTGGACAGGTGGGTGAGTGTATGAATGGGTGGGTGGATAGTGGGTAAGTGGGTGAGTGGATGGTGGACAGGTGGGTGAGTGGATGGGTAGGTAGATGGGGAGGTGGATGGGTGGTTGCTGGACAGGTGGGTGAGTGGATAGATGGGCAGATGGATGGTGGACAAGTGGGTGAGTGGATGGGTGGATGGATGGTGGGCAGATGGATGGTGGATAGGTAGATGAGTGGATGAATGGGTGGATGGATGGTGGGTAAGTGGGTGAGTGGATGGGTGGATGGACAGGTGGGTGAGTGGATGGGTGGGTGGATGGATGGTGGGTAAGTGGGTTAGTGGATGGGTGGGTGGATGGATGGGTAGAAATATTTTCGTTTTCCTAAGTGTTGCGTCCAGCTGCTGTCGGCCCCTCCTTGAGTAGAGGTCATGATTCCTTAATTGGCTCAGGAGTGAGGCCTGATGTGGAGCAGTGTCAGGGGCTCCACAGCGGCCTGTCTCCTCACAGGGTTCAGCCCAGTCTGCTCTCACTCATTTGCTGATTCATTCTTTCATTCAGCCAGTCAATAGTCATGGCCCCTCCTGTGTGCCGGGTGGCCATGGATATTGCCCTGGGTAACACACAGCCTGGCCCTGTGGAGCAGACAGTGGGGACAGCCATGTGGACAGGGTGCAGGTGGATGGCAATGGCAGCTGGGTCAGGAGGGGCTGAGGGCCGTGGGGAAAGGTGCAGAATCAATAGGGGCATCCGGACTGGGGTGCAGGCCTGGGGGCTGGGATTTCTAGGGTGGAGGTCACCTCTGAGGGAGACAGAGCAAGGCCCTGGGAGATTAGAAGGTCGAAGGTCGCCGTGTTGAGGTCAGGGGCCCTGAATTGGAGCCGCGGCAAAGGAGAGGGCAGGTCAGGGCACGTGGTGAGTGATTGCTGCGGCTTCTGAGCACGGCTGGGTCTGTGGGGCCTGAGCAGAGGTGACCCGCGATCCGGCGCCACGGCAGGCAGGACTCCCCACCCTTGCTGCTGCCTACACCCCCAGGGCAGCCCCAGAGTCGGGGGCGCAGCTCCCTGCTTGCCAGTTCAGAGCCCAGCCCCTCTCACCCAGCCCAGAGGAGGACACAGATGGAGGAGGGGCACCCGGAGGGTCCCCCCGCCGACAGGCCCCACGTCTCCCACCTGCAGGACAATGAAGTGGCCGCCTTGCAGCCCCCCGTGGTGCAGCTGCACGACAGCAACCCCTACCCGCGGCGGGAGCACCCCCACCCCACCGCGCGGCCCTGGCGGGCAGATGACATCCTGGCCAGCCCCCCTCGCCTGCCCGAGCCCCAGCCCTACCCCGGAGCCCCGCACCACAGCTCCTACGTGCACCTGCGGCCGGCGCGACCCACAAGCCCACCCGCCCACAGCCACCGCGACTTCCAGCCGGTGGTGAGTGCCCCCCCAAAGTGGGCTTGGCTCCATCTAGCCCCTCGGCTCTCGGCAGCAGAAGAGGGCCCAGCCCCTGCAGAGCTGCTGGGGGTCCCAGGCTTCGGCCATGGGTGGGGGTCTGGCGGCTCAGGGCCACTCAGGGCGGCTTGGCTGGCCCTGGGACTTGCCCTCTGGTGGCCAAGCAGTGGTCATGAAAGTCCAGCCGCTGTCACATCCTTGAGGAACCGGCGTACCTCCGCCTACAGCGGCAGCTGGGGGCACCCACGTGGCCCGGGGCTGCTCTGACCTGGCAGCGTATGGGGGCTGCTGCCTGGGCCCCTCAGTGTGTCACTTGCGCGCCTCCCGCTCAGCGCCCCTCGGCCGTGCCTGTCCACACAGGTGCGGGGCCGGGGTGGTGCGCCCGGGGCCTGGGTGCAGGGGGCAGCGTGGGACACAGCCCGTGACGCGCCCCTCTCCCCGCAGCTCCACCTGGTTGCGCTCAACAGCCCCCTGTCAGGCGGCATGCGGGGCATCCGCGGGGCCGACTTCCAGTGCTTCCAGCAGGCGCGGGCCGTGGGGCTGGCGGGCACCTTCCGCGCCTTCCTGTCCTCGCGCCTGCAGGACCTGTACAGCATCGTGCGCCGTGCCGACCGCGCAGCCGTGCCCATCGTCAACCTCAAGGTGGGTCAGTCCAGTCCTGAGGGCGCGGGCTCCTCGGCCCCCACTTGACCTCTGGGGTGAACTCCCAGCGGGGAGCTCCCCTCTAGGGCCTCTGGAGGCCACCATGTTACAGACACTGGCGCCTAGGCTGGCGACTTCAGGGCAGGCTCCGGGTGGGTCACACCCCTCCAGGCTCAGGCCAGGCCTCTGCATCCCTGGGCACTGCCACGTCCCCCAGGGCATCCCATGAGGCCCCCCCGTGGCCCCCTGACCCCCCGCTCCCCCGGCAGTGCCCCTCAGAGGGTCCCATGCTGCTGGACCAAGTGTCCACACAGGTGATAGGGCTCACATACAAGCCTGGAATCAGGAACCGTCCTTTGGGCCTCTAGTGCCATGCGGGCTGGTGGCCCCTCTGCCACAGCACCCATGTGGCTTTATTCTGTGGCCCCTTTTCGTGCACTGGGCTGTGGCTTCTGGGTGCCCCGGGGAGCACCCACATTCCCCAGAACCAACAGCAGAGGGGTCAGAGACCCAGGGCTGGGAGCAGGCGGCTGTGGCCTGGCGTTAGGGGACAGGGTCCCCTGCCTTAGCCAAGGCCTCTTGGGGTCTGCAGAGGCTGCCTGGCCAGGCCTGGCTCCCCCACGCTTGTTCCCTGGCAGGACATGCCCAGGGGCTGCAGAACCCCACCCCCCAAAAAAACACACACCCACAACACCCCACATACACCCCCAAACACCCCCCACACCCCACACACACAACACACCCCCCCCCCACACATCCACACCCCACATCCACACACCCCCCCACAAACACCCACACCCATCCACACCCCCACACACCACACACACATACACACGGTTTCTCTTCCAGGACGAGCTGCTGTTTCCCAGCTGGGAGGCTCTGTTCTCAGGCTCTGAGGGTCCGCTGAAGCCCGGGGCACGCATCTTCTCCTTTGACGGCAAGGACGTCCTGAGGCACCCCACCTGGTAGGTTCCCAGTGCCGTGTGAGCAGCTCTGAGAGCCCCAGCCAGGGAAGGCGGGCGGGCGGGCTCCTATCTGCAGTTTCCCCCCGAGTTTTTGGACAAATCTTATACATGCTCATTACTTTAAAATTACAAAATCCAAAAGAGCATTGAGAAAAATGAGAACTGCTCTGAGAAGTCATCATTAGCAATGCGTTTGAGAGCCAGGTAGTTGTAAGAAGGCCCCGAAGGTGCCCCCGGCCCTCTGCTCATGGCGGATAGACTCCATGTCTCCCGGATGTCACCAAGCCTGTGGTCAGCCATGTAAGCAGCGCAGCGAGTTTATTCACCGAGAATAAACTCCTCAAAGGGCAACACGGAGTCCGAGCATGTGTGCCCTTAAAATGTTGACAGAAATTTCCAGGGTATCTAGAAGAACGCTTCGTCCCAAATGTCGCTGTGCCCTCCCCACGTGAGCGCCGCGATTCTTCCAACACTCATGCATTTAGGGGTGTCTCGGGGTGCCACACAGCGTGTCCCCAGCAGTGCCTGGCCATCTGCTGTAACGGAGATGCACCTGCCAAGGGTCTCTGACAGGAGTGCTGTGGGCAGGGCTGGGCCCCAGGGAAGGCCTGAAAGCCAGGAGCCCGGGAGGCGGAGCTGGTTCCTAGCGAGGCAGCCACAGGAAGCCTCTGCTCAGCAGGCATGAGGGCCAGGTTCACCCAGCCAGGCCAAGCCCTGGCCCCTCTCCCCTCTGCCGTGGGTGTGTCTGGCAGAAGCAGCATGGGGGGCAGTCTGGGAGATGCAGCCCCCTCCACAGGCAGCCAGCAGGGAGGCCATGTGGCCCTCCAGGTTGTGGGAGCCTCTGCAGCCCCCTGGTAACCCCAGGGCTGGCCTCCTGCCTCCACCTTTCCTGCCCGGGGAGCGGCCTCTGCCCTAAGCAGAGCAGGTCTGGGTTTGACTGACGGCCCGGCGCGTCTTACAGGCCCCAGAAGAGCGTGTGGCATGGCTCGGACCCCAACGGGCGCAGGCTGACCGAGAGCTACTGTGAGACGTGGCGGACGGAGGCTCCCTCGGCCACGGGCCAGGCCTCCTCGCTGCTGGGGGGCAGGCTCCTGGGGCAGAGTGCCGCGAGCTGCCATCACGCCTACATCGTGCTCTGCATTGAGAACAGCTTCATGACTGCCTCCAAGTAGCCACCGCCTGGATGCGGATGGCCGGAGAGGACCGGCGGCTCGGAGGAAGCCCCCACCGTGGGCAGGGAGCGGCCGGCCAGCCCCTGGCCCCAGGACCTGGCTGCCATACTTTCCTGTATAGTTCACGTTTCATGTAATCCTCAAGAAATAAAAGGAAGCCAAAGAGTGTATTTTTTTAAAAGTTTAAAACAGAAGCCTGATGCTGACATTCACCTGCCCCAACTCTCCCCTGACCTGTGAGCCCAGCTGGGTCAGGCAGGGTGCAGTATCATGCCCTGTGCAACCTCTTGGCCTGATCAGACCACGGCTCGATTTCTCCAGGATTTCCTGCTTTGGGAAGCCGTGCTCGCCCCAGCAGGTGCTGACTTCATCTCCCACCTAGCAGCACCGTTCTGTGCACAAAACCCAGACCTGTTAGCAGACAGGCCCCGTGAGGCAATGGGAGCTGAGGCCACACTCAGCACAAGGCCATCTGGGCTCCTCCAGGGTGTGTGCTCGCCCTGCGGTAGATGGGAGGGAGGCTCAGGTCCCTGGGGCTAGGGGGAGCCCCTTCTGCTCAGCTCTGGGCCATTCTCCACAGCAACCCCAGGCTGAAGCAGGTTCCCAAGCTCAGAGGCGCACTGTGACCCCCAGCTCCGGCCTGTCCTCCAACACCAAGCACAGCAGCCTGGGGCTGGCCTCCCAAATGAGCCATGAGATGATACATCCAAAGCAGACAGCTCCACCCTGGCCGAGTCCAAGCTGGGAGATTCAAGGGACCCATGAGTTGGGGTCTGGCAGCCTCCCATCCAGGGCCCCCATCTCATGCCCCTGGCTGGGACGTGGCTCAGCCAGCACTTGTCCAGCTGAGCGCCAGGATGGAACACGGCCACATCAAAGAGGCTGAGGCTGGCACAGGACATGCGGTAGCCAGCACACAGGGCAGTGAGGGAGGGCTGTCATCTGTGCACTGCCCATGGACAGGCTGGCTCCAGATGCAGGGCAGTCATTGGCTGTCTCCTAGGAAACCCATATCCTTACCCTCCTTGGGACTGAAGGGGAACCCCGGGGTGCCCACAGGCCGCCCTGCGGGTGAACAAAGCAGCCACGAGGTGCAACAAGGTCCTCTGTCAGTCACAGCCACCCCTGAGATCCGGCAACATCAACCCGAGTCATTCGTTCTGTGGAGGGACAAGTGGACTCAGGGCAGCGCCAGGCTGACCACAGCACAGCCAACACGCACCTGCCTCAGGACTGCGACGAAACCGGTGGGGCTGGTTCTGTAATTGTGTGTGATGTGAAGCCAATTCAGACAGGCAAATAAAAGTGACCTTTTACACTGACTCTTGGTTTGCAAGCAGCCTTCACTGTCACAGGAAGGACACAATTCTCCAAAAGGAGTTCTCAGGAGTCTTTTATCCCTGGACTGCCCCACTGGCAGATCCCGAGTGTGCACAGGCACGCACGGTTACATGGGGTATGCATGCATGGCCATACACAGGCGTGCAGTTGTACACAGGTGTGCAGGAGCATCCATAGTGTGCACAGGTACACAGGCATGCACGGGTGTGTGGACACACACCAACACTCTTAGGTCTCTCCTCACAGCAGGACCTGACTTGCTCCCAGCAACACTACATCCTGACAGCCATCCCTGTCCTGGTGGACGGGTGAGTGCAGGACTCAGAGGCAGGCAGGCAGTGGGTGCAGTGAGCAGGCTGCGGAGGGAGCAGGCCCTCAGGTTGGGGAGGCGCTGGGAGGAGGATTCTGATGGCGGTGTGGGCCTCCCCAGTGACGCTCTAGCCCATGGCACAGGCCCAGCCCACCTCCACCCATCACATCCTGCTAGATCTACGAGCCCAGGAAATGGCTGGTGCAGACCCCCCCCCAAGCAGGGTCCCCAGGGTGGCCATGACAGAGCCCCTGGATGCACCTGGGACCATGGCCCTGTCTGACTGGCACCATCCACTGACTCGGGCCATCTTCCACGTGCAGCCTCTGCCTCAACCCAGGGTACCCCAAGATGCCTGCTCCCCTGAGCCACCTCGGGAGACCCCTGGGTCCAGCAGCTCCAGCAGCCCCTCCCCAGCCAGAGATTCTCTCCCCAGCTCTCCGTGCTGAGCAGCCAGCCATTCACCTGGGGCCGCTGAGATGTGGCAGAGGCCCCACAGGATAGGGCCGTTGACTAGGGTTGTGGGGGTGCTCAGCTCATGGGCACCAAGGCCCTGCGTGGGCTGGAGGCGGGAGAAGGCTGGGACGCCTCTCCTGGCCTCCTCACTGACTGCTGACCCTCAACCCCCAGGCCAGGCCGGCCCTGAATCAGAAGCCCTGCGCACACTCACTTAAGTGTGTTTAATGTATGTGGGAAGAGTATTCACATCACATCAGATGGTCCCGCACCTGTGGGCAAGGCACTAGCGCTCCTTAGACCCTGAGGCCGCTGGGACGTACTTCCCCAGCGCCCACCACAAAGGCAGCCCCCCCAAGGCTGCCCAGCCCAGGCAAGCCTGGCACATACCAAGGCCAGCACGTCCGCGGTGACCGGGACCAGTCCCCTCCGGGCTGGCACAAGTGTGGGAGCAGCTGAGGACCCGCAGGTCAGGATGGACACACTTCAGAAGGACAGACAGGACCATGGAGGGCTGCCCTTAGGGTGGGAGAGAGGAACCAGCTCCGAGGACCAGAGCCGCTGCTCCCCTCTGATGACAATGTGTCTGCCGCCAACCTGAGATGGCTTTTCCACAGAGACAGAGAAGCCACATGCAGTTCTTCATTCTACGTCAGTTAAAAAAAAAAAAAGCATCTTTCAAAAAAGCAAGAGCACCAAGGATGACCAGCAATGTCACAGCTCAGCTACACCTGAGGGTCCCGGCTCCCACCCTGCCCTAGAGGGCTCACAACTCCTGTGGGGCCAGTGTCCCCTGAGCTGGTATCCAAGAGGCCACTTCACTAGCCCTGGGGGGCAGAAAGGATTTGTCTCAAGCCCCCCAAGGGGCATGAGCCAGTGAGGCCTGGTGGACGCAGAAGCCCACCACCCACCTCTTCCAGCAACAAAGCCCGCGGGGCACAGTGCAGGGACAGCATGGCCAGGCAGCTGCCCTGAGTGTCGCCAGCACGCTGTGGCCACCGCCAGAGTGCGGCACAGGGCAGGGGGAATCCTAGGGGGCCTGCTAGCAGGATAAGCGGAGGCCCCCATTGCTAAGGCAGGCGGCCCTCGAGGCAGGGGTCGTGGGGATGCACTGAGGGCCGCCTGCAAAGTTACCACAGGGGCGCCCGAGAGTCACTGGTTCACATTCTGAACACCGTCGCTTGGAAGACACTGCAAACCCAGCTTGCTGACACCAGGAGGATGGACAGCCAGCTGGGGACAAGTCTCATCTGCAGCCTCAGGGCCTGAGGCTTGGGCGGAGCACAGAGTGCAGGGGGAAGGGGTTGTCACTGGGCTCAGGAATTCAGCTGCCTGCGGGGCCGGGGCCTGGGCCAGGTATGGGTCGCTCTGTCTCTGCTCCAGGGAGGCTGGCCCCACAGCCCCCAGGCTGTCTTCTGGGGAAAGCGGCGGGCTCTGGGCTGGCTGCAGGCCTCCGAGGCCCTTGTCCTGCACGCTCAGTGCCTGTGCTGCCTTCTCCTCCGCGGCACTCCTCAGGCCCTGGGCCGGGGGCTGCCGCGGGTGGTGGCCCCGCTGGCAGTGCCGCAGGCCATCCAGCATGGCCCCCAAGAAGTAGATGATGGACAGGATCAGGAAGTACACGGAGTATAACTGGAACTGGAAAGAGAGGCCGGGTGAGGCGGGTGGGGAGGGCCTGGCTGGGACACTGGCACCCTACACCCCGACGCCTGCTCCCAGGCTCACCCTCCTCCAGCTCAGAGGCTGACCCTGAACACTGCACAGCGGTCAGAGGCCAGCCCCAGGAGCAGGTGCCACAGTGCTCACCACAGCCCCCCCGACCTCCACCACCTGGCACAGGCCTGAAGGGGGGTTCCCACCATTTCCCAAGAACCCCTCGGAACCTGGCAGGTGGCCTGCTTCTGCGTGGCCTGCGGTGTCTGCTCCCGAGTCCCCTGCTTGGTGGTGCTTGCTGCCCCCCCATGGTGCTGAGACAGCGGAAGGGTGCCCATGAGGGCCAGAACGTCCCGCCTGGCAGAGCAGGGTGAGGAGAGCCACAGCAGGTGACCAGGAGCTGATCCCCAGGGCTTCGCGCCCAGAGCAACCCCCAGCAGCCTGCACATGGAGCCCGTCTCCATCTCGGCAGCGGAAGCTGTGCTACGATGACCAGAAGGAGCAGCACCAGCGTTGGCCACATCTCTCCTGATTCTCGCAGCTGCCAGGGGCAGGAGGGACTGGAGATGTCCCTGGGACACCAGGGAGGGACCTGATCATTCCCGGAGGTGCAGAGGGTTCAGGAGGCTGCAGTGCCCTCAGGACATCCGTGGGCAGAGCCCAGTGAGTCCCGCCCAAGACCCCTGAGGCCCCAGCTCCACATCCGCAGGCCAGAATCCCTGCAGCCCATCGGCACCGGCACCCTTCCAGGACAGCTGTTTTTAAAGCAAACTGAGGAAGATGGGGCTGACACGCTTCTCCCTGCTCTTCTCCTACCCAAGACACTGAGATAAACACCTGGGAAGACTCTGAAAGCAGGAGCGAGGAGGACAGACTGACCAGGCCCTCGGGGTCTGGGGAGCTGTGCCACACAAGGGCAGACTGGCCGGGCCCTCGGGGTCTGGGGAGCTGTGCCACGCAAGGACAGACTGTGCCACGCAGAGCTCCCTGGGGGCTTTTCTTTTCACCTCAGATATTTTGAAACTGAAGAAGGCAGCAGGCTGGAAAAGACAACAGATGCAGAAAAAAGAGCCCATGGAAGCAGCTCTCTCTGGCCTAAGACCCAGGGAAGGGTCAGCCCAACATGAGGAAAGACCTTTCGACAGGAATCGCCCTGCTCCCCGCAAACACCAGACCTCGGCTCCACCCACCATGTCAGCAAGGACCCCCCACCCTCGCCAGCCTGTAACAAGGACCCCCGAGTCCCCTGCGGGGTGGTGTCAGACAACACCAGTGGGCACTAGAGCTTTCACTCCCACTGGTTGGTAAAGACACCCACCCTCACCCCCAAGGAGTCAGCAGAGACCACAGGGAAGCCCAAGATGTCACCCCCAAAGCCTCATGGAGTCAGTGGAGACCATGTGGGGAGCCTAGTCACCCCCGAAGCCTCACGGAGTCAGCAGAGACCATATGGGGAGCCTGGCCTCTTATCCTCACCCAGTAGTAAGAGCGTGCCTGTCCTGTCCCCCTCCATGCTGGGGGGTGTCAGAGGAGGTCAAGCGGGAGTCCAGACTTTCACCTACCCAGCAATAATGAGAATGTCCCAACCCCAGGGGCATCAAGGGGGCCACGAGGGGAGCTGGACTCCCATCCTTGCCTGGCAACAAGAAGGAGCCCCCACCCAGCCACCCACCCTCCCTCAGGTGTCACAAAGGCTGAGTGAGAGCCTGGACTTCCACCCCACCTGCCTGTAGCGAGGTGCACACCCCGCTTGACCTGCAGGAGTTGCGTCAGCCACAACAGGATGCTGAAATTACATCATACCCAAAATGCTTGCATCTCACTAAAAAATCCCTTGGCACACTAAACCACAAAGATCTCAAACTGAAAAACAATTAATAGACACCAACACTAAGACAACACAGACAGTAGAATTCGCCAAGAAAGATCTTAAAGCAGCCACCATAAAAATGCTTCAGTGAACAATAACAAACATGCTGGAAACAAATGAAAAAACACAGTCTCAGCAAAGAAATAGGAGAAATAAAAAAAATTTAGAACTGAAATGTACAATAATCAGAATTTAAAAACTTAATGAATCATCTCAACAACAAAATAGAAGAGGCAGAGAAATGATCAATGAACTGGAGGTAGAACAATAGAAATTATCCAACCTGAACAAAAGAAAAAATGGACTGAAAAAAAATGAACAAAGCCTCATTCCTTGTGGGACTATACAACATGATCTAACATTTGTGACATGGGGGATCTAGAAAAAGAGGAGAAAAGGAGTGGGGTTCAAAAAGCATTTCAGGAAATAATGGTTGAAAACTTCCTAAATTTGGTGAGATGTACACTGCAGATTCATGAAGCTGAGCAAACCCCAAATAGAAAACCCAAACAAAATCACACCAACACATACCATATTCAAACTTCTATAAGCTAACGATAAAAATAAAGAAAAAATCTTGGAAGTGGCCAGAGAAAAATGACACTTTACGGGCAAGCAATTTGAATAACAGTAATTGCTCATCAAAAATCCTGAAAGCTATGAGGAAGGGGCACCACATTTCTCACAGGCTAAAAAAAAAGAACACTGTCTACCCAGCATCCTATATCCAGTGAAAACATCCTTTGAGAATAAAAGAGCAATCAAGACACTCACAGATGAAGAAAAACTAAGAGAAGAAATTTGTAACCAGCAGATCTGTCTAAAATAATGGCAAAAAACAAACAAAAAACAAGTTCTCTAAACAGAAAGGAAATTACTAAAGAAGGAATCTTGAAATAACAGGAAAGAGGAAATACCACAGTAGGCAACATTATGGGTAAATAAAACAGACTTTCCTTCTTTAGTTTCCTAAAATATGTTTGATGATTAATGCAAAAATTACAATATTTTCTTATGTAGCACTAAAGGTATGTAGAGAAAATATTTAAGATAATTGTACTGTAAGCGGGAGATGACAGTGACATAAAGGCAACGTTTTTATACTTCACTCAAACTTTATGTATTAATGTAATCCATAAAGCAACCAAAAAAGCTATACTAAGTACATTCAAAAACACAATAGATAAACCAAACAAAATTCTAAAGGATGTACAAGTAACCCACTGGAAGCTGCAAAAAATGTAAACAGAAACTAAAAACAGAGAATAAATGAAAAATTAAAAACGAAATGGCAGACTTAGGCCCTAATATACAAATTATCACATTAAATATAAATGGTCTAAATACACCAACTGTAAGACAGAGATTAGCAAAGTCGATTTAAAAACATGACTCAACTACGTGCTGTCTACAAGAAACTCACTTCAAATATACCAAGATAGGAAGGTTGAAAGTAAAACGATGGAAAAAGATGTATCATGTGAACATTAATCAAAGGAAAGCAGGGGTGGCTATATTAACATCAGGTAAAATAAACTTCTGAGCAAAAAAAAAAAAAAAAAAAAAAAAGACCAGGGACAGCAGAGACAGAGAAGGACATTATATAATCCCACTATTACACAATTGACAAGAGGGTCAGTCCACCAAAACAAATTTCAATCCCTAACGTGTATGCAACAAACAAAAGAGCTGCCAATATGTGAAGCAAAAACACAACAGAACTGAAAGGAGAAACAGATCCACAATTATACTTAGGAGACTTCAATACCCCCTCTCAATAATAAAACTAGACAGAAAATCCACAAGAACTGAGAGGAAATCAATACCATCAGCCAACAGGATCTGATCAGCATTTACAGAACACTCCACCCAAAAGCAGAATATACATTCTTTCAAAGTGTCCACAGTATATCAAAACAGATAATATTCTGGGTCATAAGACAAATCTTAACAAATTTATAAGGACTGAAATAATAATGTGTTTTCCAATCACAACAGAATCAAAAAAGAAATTAATAACAGAAAGATAACAGGAAAATCTCAAAACACTTGGAAATTAAACAACAAAATTTGAAATAATGATGCATCAAAAAACACACTGAAATGAATGAAAATGAAAACACAGCCTATTAAGATTTGTGGGATGCAACTAAAGCAGTACTGAGTGGGGAAATTTATAGCATTAGATGCATAAATTAGAAAAGAGGAAAAGTCTCAAATCAATATCTCACCTCAAGAACCTAGAAAAAAGAAGAGCAAAATAAATCTAAAGCAAGCAGAAAGAAGGAATTAATAAAGTTCCAGCCAGTGCACTAAGTCAAGAAAAAGAAATAAAAGATATACAGATCAGAAAGGAAGAAATATTTGCAGATGACATAATTATCTACGTAGAAAATCTCAAGGAATTTAAAAAACAAAGGCCAAAAAATGGAAAAGCCTCCTACAACAAATAAGTAATCTCAGCAAAATTGCAGTATACAAGATAAACACACAAATATATCAACTACATTTCTATACACTAGCAACGAACATGTATACACTGTTATGGAATGAATTGTGAACCCATCACCCAATTCATATGTTGAAGCCCTAACCCACAATGTCACTGCATTTGAAGACAGGGCCTTTCAAAAGGTAATTACGGTTAAATGAGGTCACAAGGATGGCATCTTACTCCAACCTGACTGGATGTCCTTATAAGAAGACAGACACTAGCCGGGCATGGTGGCTCATGCCTGTAACCCCAGCACTTTGGGAGGCTGAGGCGGGTGGATCACCTGAGGTCCAGAGTTCAAGACTAGCCTGGCCAACATGGAGAAACCCCGTCTCTACTAAAAACATGAAATTAGCCAGGCATGGTGGCACATGCCTGTAATCCCAGCTACTTGGGAGGCTGAGACAGGAGAATTGCTTGAACCCAGGAGGAGGAGGTTGCGGTGAGCTGAGATTGCGCCATTGCACTCCAGCCTGGGCAACAAGAGCGAAACTCCATCTCAAAAAAAAAAAAAACAAACGAAAAAAAGATACCAGGGAGGACCATACACAGAAAAAAAAGACCATATGAAGACAAAGGGAGAAGATGCCAACTGCAAGCCAAGAAGAGAGGCATCAGGAGA
The DNA here is from genome assembly GCF_000001405.40 of Homo sapiens. NCBI lineage: Eukaryota > Metazoa > Chordata > Mammalia > Primates > Hominidae > Homo > Homo sapiens. The sequence continues at coordinate 138,368 of NW_025791815.1, forward strand.
AACCAACCTGCCAACACCTTAATCTCAGACTTCAAGCCTCCGGAACTGTGAGAGAATATATTTCTGTTGTTTGTCACCCAGTTTGTGATATTTTGCTATGGCAGCCCAAACAGACTAATGCAGATAACAAATTTCAAAATATGGTTTGATTTACTTAAGAAAAAGCATAAACTAAAAACATGTATAGTACTCATATGCTGAAAACTACAAAATGCTGAAAGAAATCAAAGATCTAAATAAATGGAAAGATATACCATGTTCATGGATTGGAAAACAACACAGTAAACACGTCAATTCTCCCAAAATTGATACACTGGCTTAATTGCAATTCCTAACAAAATCTGAGCAGGAATTTTTGTAGATATAGACAAGATTACTCTAAAATGTATACGGAAAGGCAAAGAAACTATAATAGTCAAAACAATTTTGAATAAAAAGAAGTTGGAGGAATCAAGTCTATCCACTTTCAAAACTTGCTGTAAAGCTTCATAACCAAGACAGTGTGATATTGGTACAAGAGTAAACACATAGTTCAATGGAACAGGATAAAAAACCCAGAAACAGACTCACATAAATATGCCCAACTTTTGACAAAGGTGCAAAAGTAATTCAATGGGGAGAGCTAAGTCTTTTCAACAAATGATGCTGGAATAAATGGATACGCACAGGCCAAAAAAAAAGTGACCTCAACCTAAACTTCACATCTTATACAAAAATTAAAGCTGGTCAGAGACTTAAATGTAAAAACACGAAACTTTAAAAAAGAAATTTGAGGAAAATCTTCTGAATTTAGGGCTAGGCAAAGAGTTTCCATAAAAGGAAAAACTGTTAAATCAGAGCTCATGGGAGTTAAAAAACACTTGTTCTGTAAAAGACCACATTAAGTAGATGAAACAACCAGCTACAGAGTTGAAAAAAAAATTGCAAACTGTATATATCCAACAAAGGACTAATATCTGGAATACACAAACCATGCTTAAAACTCAAGAGTATAAAAATGAACAATCCAATGAGAAAATGGGCAGAAGATGTGAAGATTTTGCAAATGGAAAATAAGGACATAAAAAGATGTTCAACATCATTATCCACCAGGGAAATGCAAATTAAAACAATATTATGCCCCAGGGAAATGCAAATTAAAACCACAATGAAATATCACTACACCTATCACAACGGCCAAAATAAAAACTAGTGGCAACACGGCATACCAAAGACGCTGTGACTGGATCTCTCAAAGTCTGCTGGTGGTGATATAAAACGGTACGACTGCTATGGAAAGTGGGCTGCTTCCCTGCTTCTTTCCTGGAAAGAAACAAGCAACTACCTGGTGACCCAGCACTTGCACTTCTGGGCGTCTGTCCCAGGGAAAGGAAAACCTATATTCACACAAAAACCTATAAAAGAATGTCCATAGCAGCTTTATTGGTAATACCTCACACTGGAAACAAGTCTTTCAACGGTGAATAAATAAAGTGTGCTGTACCTACACCCTGGAACAGCACTCAGCAGCAAGAAGGAATCAGCCACAGCCACAGTAACAACATGGATGAATGTTCAGAGAACAGTGTTGAGTGAAAAGAGCCAATCCCTAAACGATACACAATGCATAGCCGTGTTTATACAACACTCCTGAAATGACAAACTCATACAAGCGGAGAAGAGGGTAGTGGCTGCCAGGGGTTAAAGAGGACGTGAGGCTGGGAGTAGGGTGGGCCTTGGCTATAAAGAGCAGCATGAGGGATCCCTGTGGGGATAGAATGTTCTGGATCCTGACTGTCGCCATGCTGGTTGTGATGTGCTACAGAACTGTAAGACGTGACCACTGTGAAAACTGGGTACGGGGTACATGGATCTCCCTGTATTATTTATTAAACAGCATGTGAATATAAGATTACCCAAATATAAAGCTTAATTTAAAAAGCAGGCAAACCCAGGCAAGCTCTAGCCCTGTCTGTCCCCCCATGCTCCATCACGGCTCCCTCCCGTCTCCAGACTCTACCCCCGACCAAGCCTGAACTCCTGGCCCAGCTGTTCTCCCCATGCTGGAGGAAAGAGAGTGGACACTCGGCACCCAGTAACAGGCACGGGGGCAAGATGAGCCCGCACCACCTCCTCTAGACCCAACAGGATGTCCAGCCATGAGCAAAATGCCCCACTAGTTAACTTTTTAACCTAGAAATCAAACCAGCCAGAGAAAAGTCCATGTGTTTTTTTTCTATGTGACAAGAGGCAGCCAGGAACCACAGGCCAGAACCTGCCTCCACCTCCCCAGAGCTGTCTCCCCCACAGCCTCCACGGCCACACCAGGACCAGGACCAGCTAAGGAAGGGAAAGGGCTTCCTCGTGACCAGCTCTCTGGGGAAGAACTGCTCCACCCCCTGCACCAAGCCCCCATGGGCCCTTAGAAGCCCACCGTGAGGGGTCCCCTCCACAGGGCAGCTACAGGGGAGCACACGCACAGAGTCCCTAAAGAGCCCTCAGGCATCTGCCCCTCCAGCTGCCAAGGGCTGAACAAGAGGCAGTCACAGAGGGATGGAGGTGGGGCGGCAACGGTAGTCAGGGGCAGTCAGCACCCAGAGGCAGGTCAGAAGCCAGTTCCAGCCTGGCTGGGGCCACACAGGGCCCTGAGGGTCTCCCTGGGACGGGCACTCCCTGCCCATACATGCTGGCAGCCACTGCTGTCTGGGGACAGAGGTAACTCGGGGCTCCAAGAATGGGGAGGACCTCCTCCCGGGTGCTGGAGCCCCTCCAAAGCCAGCTGGACTGCTGCCAGCACCCCGCCCTGGGGCCATGCATTCAACAGAAGCCTTCTGGGCCCCCTTTCTGCAGACCTGAGACCAGCCCGGCCACCAGGAGGCTGTGTCCACCCAGGCCGGGCCTGGACACATTCACCCGTGGGCCTTGGAGACTCACCTGTCCTGAGCGTTCACCCCTGGGCTTCGGAGGCTCACCCGCCCTGAGCGTTCACCCCTGGGCCTCGGAGACTCACCTGCCCTAAGCGTTCACCCCTGGGCCTTGGAGGCTCATCACCCTGAGTGTTCACGCCTGGGCCTTGGAGGCTCACCTGCCCTGAGTGTTCACACCTGGGCCTCGGAGGCTCACCCGCCCTGAGTGTTCACACCTGGGCCTCAGAGGCTCACCCACCCTGAGCGTTCACCCCTGGGCCTTGGAGGCTCACCTGTCCTGAGCGTTCACCCCCGGGCCTCGGAGACTCACCTGCCCTGAACGTTCACCCCTGGGCTTCGGAGGCTCACCCGCCCTGAGTGTTCACCCCTGGGCCTCGGAGACTCACCTGCCCTAAGCGTTCACCCCTGGGCCTTGGAGGCTCATCACCCTGAGTGTTCACGCCTGGGCCTTGGAGGCTCACCTGCCCTGAGTGTTCACACCTGGGCCTCGGAGGCTCACCCGCCCTGAGTGTTCACACCTGGGCCTCAGAGGCTCACCCACCCTGAGCGTTCACCCCTGGGCCTTGGAGGCTCACCTGTCCTGAGCGTTCACCCCCGGGCCTCGGAGACTCACCTGCCCTGAACGTTCACCCCTGGGCTTCGGAGGCTCACCCGCCCTGAGTGTTCACCCCTGGGCCTCGGAGACTCACCTGCCCTAAGCGTTCACCCCTGGGCCTTGGAGGCTCATCACCCTGAGTGTTCACGCCTGGGCCTTGGAGGCTCACCTGCCCTGAGTGTTCACACCTGGGCCTCGGAGGCTCACCCACCCTAAGCGTTCACCCCTGGGCCTTGGAGACTCACCCGCCCTGAGTGTTCACACCTGGGTCGGGGGTGTTGTACCCAGAGGGCTCTGTGGCACAGGGCCACGTGGCCTGCCAGCGTGGACAGGCCCTAATGACACTCTTGGGCTGAAGAATGCATTTCGATGAGTGAGCAACAGCCATCCTCACCTAACAGGCATTTGTGAGCCGAAGGGGATGCCTGCTATTGCCCGGGCCTTACCCTGAGCTCTGGAGTCACTGAAGCTGAACAGACTCCGCACCCTCAGAGGATCAGGACTAACCCTGACAGTCCTCCTGCCCAGTGAGACCTGGGCCCCAGGTGGACAAAGCCCTTGTCCCACCCGCCAAGGGCATCTGTCTAGCTGCAGGCTGGGGCAGTCCTGAGGAGCCTGGAAGGACCTCTCACACCACGCCCACCATGGCTGATTCCAGCTCACTCGGAGACCCGGCCTTGGCTGGGACCCTCAGGAGTTAAATGTGTGTTTTCCAGCTCTTCTCAGAAGCAGCAGAGGCCCGCGAGAGGTGGGAAAGGGGAGGGCACCCGCAGAGGCCTGCGCACTGACACTGCTGAGTGGCTCTGCTCAGCTCTCCTTCCTGAAGAGGACAAAGGTCACGTGGCCTCCAGCCAGGGCTCAAGGACACCAAGTTCCGGCAGCCACAGGCAGAGAGCGGAGACAAGGACAGCTCCGCCGTGGCGAGCAGAGGCTCAGCTGCTCCCACTGAGGCCCAGGGCCTGACGGAGGCTCCCGCCCACAACAACTGAGCCCCGCTAGGGTCTCTCTCACTTCCTGCTCTCGCTGGCCTGGTGTGTCCCACTGGAAGCCCCAGGCCCGCACCCTGTGCCCCCAGCCCACAGTGGGCTCCACATCAGGCGGGCACCAGGAGGCCTCAACAATGTCCCCACAAGTAGCTTCCATCCCCGAGGACGCAGGCCTGAAATGGGCTCACCTGCTTGCGGACCGGGAGGCCCAGGCCCCGCACGTCCGAGACAATGAAAGTGATGATGGTCTTGACGATGGTGGCAAAGAACGTGTTGACCCCGAAGACCAGGGCACAGAGCTCTTTAGACAGAGAAGATGCAATCTGAAAGCTGAACGGGAAGAGCGGGCAGATCAGGCGCTGCTGGGAGAATAAGCAGCAGCCACAGGGAAAAGCCTGCAGCCCGGCTCCCACCAGCCCATGACCCGCCCGGCAGCCACGGGGTCCCAGGGCACGCACAAGCCCCCCACCAGGCCCCCATCTCTCCCACACATGCCCGCCCCTGCCAGGCAGGAGCCAGCACCCAGGCCACCCTCGAGGGGCCATTCTGGGAGCTGCCGTGTCCCCCTGGCTCAGTACAGAGTGAGGGTCCCTTATCCAAAATGCCTGGGGCCAGTAGTTTTGGATTTGGGAATATTCACATGTCCATAATGAGATGTCTTGAGGATGGAACCCAAGTCTAAACACGAAATGCATTTATGCTCATATGCACTGTACACACACAGCCAGAAGGTGATTTTATATAATACCTGACAAACATTTGCAAGCCAAAGGGGTTGCCTGCTACTGCCCAGGGCCTCACCCTGAGTTCTGGAGTAATTTTGTGCATGAAGAAACTTTTGACCGTGTTCTGAGACTCGTCAAACAAGGTCAGGTACAGGATTTTCCACCGGGTTGTCTTTCCGGTGCTCAAAAACTGTCAGATTTTGGAGTATTTCAAATTCTGGATTTTTTGTTATTTTTTTTTAGATGGAGTCTCGCTCTGTTGCCCAGGCGTGCAATGGCACAATCTCAGCTCACTGCAACCTCTGCCTCCTGGGTTCAAGCAATTCTCCTGTCTCAGCCTTTCGAGTAGCTGGGATTACAGGCACGCGCCATCATGCCCAGCTAATTTTTGTATTTTTAGTAGAGACAGAGTTTCACCATGTTGGCCAGGCTGGTCTCGAGCTCCTGGCCTCAGGTGATCCACCCACCTCAGCCTCCCAAAGTGCTGGGATCACAGGTGTGAGCCACTGCGCCCAGCTGAATTCTGGCTGTTTTGATTAGGGATGCTGAACCTATACAATGGGTGTCACAAAACACAAACTCGAGAAGATACCTGGAAGGGCTCCCATGAGCTCTGGGACAGACCAGGTCACGGGCGTCTCAAAACATTCAGAAAATCATCATCAAGAGAACCTCTGGGCACAGACAGAAAAGTCTAGAATGAAAGTCTTTCACGGTTAAATGTTTGATAAATTAGAAGAGCAGTGAAACCACAGAGTCGGTGAATGAGCAGCAGCCAGGCAGGGCAGGCCCTGGAGTTGAGTGGCAGCTGGGCAGAGCGGGCCCTGGAGGTGAGTAGCAGCTGGGTATGCCCGGGAGGGCCCTGGAGGTGAGTGGCAATTGGGGGGGAGGGGGGCCTGGAGGCGGGGCAGGCCCTGGAGGTGAATAGCAGCTGGGTATGCCCGGGCAGGCCCTGGAGGTGAGTGGCAGCGGGCAGGGTGGGCCCAGGAGGTGAGAGGCAGCCAGGCAGGGCAGGCCCTGGAGGTGAGTGGCAGCAGGTTAGGACGGGCCCTGGAGGTGAGTGGCAGCGGGCAGGGTGGGCCCTGGAGGTGAGTGGCAGCCAGGCAGGGCGGGCCCTGGAGGTGAGTGGCAGTCAGTTACTGCGGGCCCTGGAGGTGAGTGGCAGCCGGGCAGGGCGGGCCCTGGAGGTGAGTGGCAGCCAGTTACTGCAGGCCCTGGAGGTGAGTGGCAGCAGGGCAGGGTGGGCCCTGGAGGTGAGTGGCAGCCAGGCAGGGCGGGCCCTGGAGGTGAGTGGCAGTCAGTTACTGCGGGCCCTGGAGGTGAGTGGCAGCCAGGCAGGGCGGGCCCTGGAGGTGAGTGGCAGTCAGTTACTGCGGGCCCTGGAGGTGAGTGGCAGCAGGGCAGGGTGGGCCCTGGAGGTGAGTGGCAGCCAGGCAGGGCGGGCCCTGGAGGTGAGCGGTGGCATGAACATGTCCAGGAATGAAGGCACCACATTCCTGACATGGAGAGGTGACACGCCAGGCTTCTGGTGCTCTGCAAAGAAACTAGTCTTCCGATGCAGTTCCAATTAAAATCTGCAAAGTGCTTAAAAAAAAAAAAAAAAAAGAACTGGACAAAAAATGTCCTAAAGTTCACCTGAAGAAAAAATAAACAAAAATGCCCAGGAACCCTTTGGAGAAGGGCAGAGGTGTCTGTGCTGCTGGGCACTGGAGACGGGGGGACAGTGGGGACAGTGGAGGCTCGGGGGCAGGCAGGCAGGCCGGCAGCAGGGAGGACGAGAGAAGCACACAGAGGTCCCGGTGAGCAGGTCAGTGGGATGAAGGGCAGACGAACAACAGGGAGAACTGAGCACAAACACGAGCTTCTGGATGCCAGCGCTGGGCAGGGCAGAGCCCAGGCCAGCCCCCAGGGTGCTTCCAAGGACACTCAGAAACACTGTGAGTTGAATTAAAGGCAGACGAGTGTGGGGCGTGATGGGGGCACAGGTGATTGAAAATACATGATACAGATGAATGCTCCCCAGATCAGCAGGGAGGAAAGCGAGTCCCAACAGAGTCAGGAGACACACAGGGGCCACTCAGTCCACAGCAGGCCGGCCGGCCTCACTCTGGTTAAGGAAAGGCTGGGAGCCCAGCCGGCCCGTCAGGGGCTCAGGGAGGGTGGGGAGGCCACTCCACCATCCTGACGGGGAGGAAGCCCGCATGCCGGCCTGCAGGGTACCTGCAATATTGACAGAAACCTGCTTTCAAAAGCACATACTCTCCAACCTGGCCATTCCCCTTCCAGGAATCCACCTGAGGGTCATTATTAGAATTTGGAAACAAAAATGTAGGTAGAAGGGCATTCATCTCAGTGTTTTCCTCGTGTAAGAAAAATGGAAATGGTGACTTTACCCATAGACTGGGGATGGGTTGTAAGGCCCACCACTCATGACCGGGAGTGACCACCTGCATCTGTGAGTGACCATCTGCATCTGTGTCTGGCATCAACCCAACACAGACAAGCAGAAAATGCTGGGATTCCCCGTAGCAAACAGCAGTTTTCTGCTTTGCACGCTGCGGCACCGTGTTGGATTTTTTTGCGATGGGCATCAATGACTTTATAACTAAAACCTTTCAGGCGTTGTCCCCCTGGCTGCAGCAATGGGACAGCACAATGGCAGAGGCCCTGGCCCTTTCCACAGTGCTGGCAGGTCAGTGGGGGGGCCCAAGCAAGATCACGCTGGGCCTTCACGAGCCAGGGACGGCAAGAGCCCAGTGTGGGCCTCGGGGAGCCTGGAGAAGGCGGCCACACAGGAGCAGAAGGGGCCCCGAGTATGGCAGGGGCGGGAGAGAAGGGTGGGCCGGGCTGCCCATGCCGGGAGACTGCTGCCTGCATGTGGGGAGGATGGGGAAGTACAGGGCCGGGCACATCCAGGCAGGATGCTGCAGGGGTGAGGCCACTGACACAGAGGGCCCAATGCAAGGGTCAGGAGGGTGCTCTCAGCTCAAACAGGCTCGTGACCAGCATAAGGCCCAGGGGGATGACCCACGGAGGGAGGGAGATAGGGCTCGGAGGCCACCCTGGAGGGGAAGCCCAGGAAGGGGTACTGAGCTGGGGCCAAAGTCCTCCCAGCGGGCAGGAAAGAGGGGGCAGGTCCAGGGAGCAGGACCCTGTGAGCACACAGGGTCAGTGTCTGAGTGTGTCAGTGTGTGTGGTCTGAGTATGTGGTGGGAGTGTGTCAATGTGTGGGTGTCTCCATGTGTGAGCGTGTGTCCATGTGTGAACGTGTCCATGTGTAAACGTGTGGTGTGTCCATGTGTGAACGTGTGGTGTGTGTCCATGTGTGAGCATGTGTTGTGTGTCCGTGTGGTGTGTGTCCATCTGAGCGTGTAGCATGTCCATGTGTGCTGTGTCCATGTGTAAGCATGTGGTGTGTTCATGTGAGTGTGGTGTATCCATCTGTGAGTGTGTGGTGTGTCCATGTGAGTGTGTGGTGTGTCTGTGTGGTGTGTGTCCATGTGTAAGCATATGGTGCATTCATGTGAGTGTGGTGGGTGTCTGTGAACATGTGGTGTGTCCCTGTGAGTGTGTGTGTGTCCGTGTGTAGTGTGTGTCCATGGGTAAGCATGTAGTGTGTTCATGTGAGTGTGGTGGGTGTCCGTGTGTGTGGTGTGTGTCCATGTGTAAGTATGTGATGCATTCATGTGAGTGTAGTGGGTGTCCATCTGTGAGCATGTGGTGTGTGTTCGTGTGTGGTGTGTCTGTGTGGTGTATCCATCTGTGAGCGTGTGGTGTGTTCATGTGAGTGTGCATTGTGTGTCCGTGTGTGTGTGGTGCGTCCATGTGTAGTGGGTGTCCATGTGTGATATATCCATGTGTGAACATGGTGTGTGTCCGTGTGTGTGGTGTGTTCATGTGCGATATATCCATGTGTGAGTGTGGTGTGTTTGTCCATGTGTGCACGTGTGGTATGTGTTCATGAGTGTGTGGTGAGTGTCCATCTGTGCGCATGTGGTGTGTTCATGAGTGTGTGTGTGTCCATGTGTGAGCGTGTGGTGTGTGTGTGGTGTGAGTGCCTGGTGTGAGTGTAAGCTGAGGATGAACTCACACAGGTGCAAGCTCCCGCTCCTGCCTGGATGGGGTCTCAGCAGCCCGGGGCCTAGAGGGTGGGGTTGGGAGCAGGGCAAGGCTGTGAGCCCAGCAGGCTTCAGAGAGGAGCGTGGAGGGCCTGGGGGAGCAGCAAGACGGCACAGGAAGGGACGCCCGAGGTCCCAGGGAGAGGCAAGTGGGGACCCTGGTCAGCTCCAGGTGGCTGGCGGGGCCAGCAGTGGCACAGCCGCTGGGGCGCAGCAGGAAGGTGGGAGCACCCAGCGAAGCGCGGGGCTTGATCCTGGCGCCTGCCCGCCCCCGGCTTCCCACCCTTCTGGAACTCACGTGGCGATGGGCACGAGGAACTGGTAGGAGCCGCGGAACAGCACGAAGGCCGCATAGCACAGCCAGATGCTGCTCGGGTGGCGCGTGTGCGCCAGAAGGAAGACCAGCCCCGCCTGCGTGGCCGTGACGCCCGCGATGAGCAGCTTGGACCAGCGCGCCCAGCGGATCTTCACGAAGCCCGCGGCGAAGGACGTGATGGCGCCTGAGAGGGGAGGGATGGGGCGTTGCAGCGGCCCTGGGGGGCCACGGGGCAGGGGGAGGTAGCGGGAGCTTCTGAGGAAAGGTATCCACGGGGCAGGGGGCGGGGACGGGGAGCCTCCGGGGAAGGATCCACGGGGCAGGGGGAGGTGGCAGGGAGCCTCCGGGGGAAGGATCCACGGGGCAGGGGGCGGGGAGGGGGAGCCTCCGGGGGAAGGATCCACGGGGCAGGGGGCGGGGAGGGGGAGCCTCCGGGGGAAGGATCCACGGGGCAGGGGGAGGTGGCGGAGAGCCTCTGGGGGAAGGTATCCATGGGGCAGGGGGCGGGAGAGGGAGCCTCCGGGGGAAGGATCCACGGGGCAGGCGGAGGTGGACGGGAAGCCTCTGCGGGAAGAAGCCTCGGGGACCAGGGCATGCGTACCCAGCAGCGTGGAGGCAGCATCTGCCGCGCCGTTGTAGACCCGCGCACTGTTGGTGGTGGGGTCCACCTCGTTCCACAGGATGTGCACGTAGTAGACCACCAGGTAGTAGCCGGCCGAGTTGAAGACCCACCAGAGGGACCACAGGCGCAGCTGCGGCCGCCGCAGGCTGTCCCCCAGCTCCCGCAGCATCCGCGCCAGCACTGAGTCCCCACAGGCCACCCGCAGGGCGTGTCCCAGCTTCCCGCCTGGGCCAGGATTCATGCGCTCCAGCTCCGAAGCCGAGGTTTCGCACCGCCCCCGGTCGTCGCGGTTGAAGAAGAGGCTGCGCTTGGGGCGCTTCAGGAAGAGGGCGAGGACCACGCTGAAGGTGAGGAAGGCCAGCGAGATGTAGTTGAGCGTGGAGAAGGAGACTCGGCCCACAGTGACCAGCAGCTGGCCCAGCACGGAGCTGGTGAACACGCCCAGCAGCACCGCAGCGCGCGAGTAGCCGGCCACACGCTGGTAGCGCGCGGGCCGCACGAGAGAGAAGATGTAGGAGGAATAGGCGATGCGCGCGGCCATGGTGACGCTGTAGAAGAGCTCCATGAGCTGCATGTGCGCCACCGAGTGGCCCAGCAGCAGCAGCAGCCACACCGACACGAAGCTGAGCCCCTGCAGCAGCAGCACCGGCGTGTAGCGCAGGTAGTCGGTGAGCAGGAACACGGGCACCAGCACGGCCAGGTAGGAGTACGACAGCACCGGCGTGATCTCGTTCGTGACCTGCGGACAGGCGGGCGTGCGCCCCACCAGGTGTTAGCAATGCTGCCGCTGCGGCAGACACAGCCCGCCCGAGGTGATGGCTGCTGACGGCTTCCTGCCCCAACACTGCCTGGTGGGACCCCTCTCCCCAACACGCCCCTGTCCCATGTCCCACTGCATCGTCCTCTCTGAACAGGGACCTCTGGCTCCCGACCGTCCCGGCAGCCTGGGAGCGTTCGCCTGCGGAAAGCTGGCAGTGGCCACAGAAGGAATCGTTATTAACAAGCCTGTTCATCTAAGCTTCTCTATTTTTATCTCTTTCTTGGGACAGAGTCTTGCTCTGTCGCCCAGGCTGGAGTGCAGTGGCACGATCTTAGCTCATTGCAACCTCCACCTCCCAGGTTCAAGCAGTTCTCCTGCCTCAGCCTCCCGAGTAGCTGAGATTACAGGTGCGTACCACCATGTCTGGCTAATTTTTGTATTTTTAGTAGAGATGGGGGTTTCACCATGTTGGGCAGGCTGGTCTCGAACTCCTGACCTCAGGTGATCTGCCCACCTTAGCCTCCCAAAGTGCTAGGATTACAGGCACCAGCCACCACACCCAGCCAGCTTCTCTATTTTTAATAGAATCAAAACATGGTTTTATTTCATTTTAAACAATATGGAAAACACAGCTGTAACCCATACACATTCACACCAGCACAAGCTTCTTCCATCCTTCCTGGAGAGAGACAAAAACAGAAGACACAGAAAGGAAGGGCAGGATCAGGGACAGCAGGTTCGTGGGAGGGACTGTTCGTGGGGGAACCCGGCAGGGGAAGAAAGACAGGAAGGGGAAGAAGGGGAAAGAGAGGAAGTGGGGTAGGGCAGAGGGCCCTGGGCTGTGCACTCCCATCTCACACTTGTCCCCAGAGCAAGGTCTTTAAGGCCAGACTCCAACCCAGGAGCAGGGAGGGGGGCAAACGCCCCTGTAGCCGCCCTGCACCCTCCCAGGAGGGGGAGCACAGGCTGTCAGCCTGCCCACCCCCACCTCCTCCATCACATGTTATGTGGGAACCCAGCTCCACAGCCTTGGCCACTGAGCTGCTGGTGGACACTCCAGGCCTGGCTTCCATGCCTGTGGCCTCAACACACATCCACCTTCCATGGGAACGTGGAGCTGGGCACGGGGCTGGGGGTGCTACCTCCTACAGGACAAGGTCAGAGGACACTGCCCCAGACTACTACAGGCAGGCACCAAACGTCCTCAGCTGTCTTGGCAGGGGCCAGGGCTGCTGTGGGCACACCTGGGCACACCTGGGCACAGTCCAGAGGAAGAGGCCCCACCCCTGTGAGGCCAAGCCGCTTGCCTTGCCCCTCCCTGGGGACTGATGTGGGAGCCACCCTATGCTTGGAGCCTCCCCTGGGGCCCAGGTGCATTTTCAGCAGGTGGCCCCGCCCACAGGCCCCACCAGACCCCACCTCAGATCCACTGGAGGTTGGTACCAGATGAGCCAGCAGGGCCCTGCTGGACTCTGGGCCTCCAGCAGGCCCCACCCGACTCAGGCCTGACCACCAGTAACCCCACAGCCCCACTCGTGCTGCCCCAGGTGACCTCAGCCCCTGCCAGCCACACTTGGCAGGACCAAACCCTGGGTCAGCACGTGGGGTGCTGCGCCGAGCCACGCCGCCTCCCCGGGGGCTCTCAGCCTCGTGTCTGGCACACCCAAGATGTGTGGCCCGATGTGCTCAGAGCCCGGCCACCGGCTACTGTGAACAGCTGGGCAATAGGACCCTGCAGCCAGGCCGGCATGCTGAGAAGCTTCCCAGGGGCTCAGGGGAAGGCTGCCCAGAGACCCCACCTCAGGGCACCCTGAGGTCGCACCCTGGAGCCTGCACCCTCATGGAGGCCAGGCTGACCCAAAGGCTGTGGTCCCAGCAGCACCAGGCACCCAAGGTCCCTCCGGCACTCCGTCCTGCTCAGGACATTCCGGGACACTCTGAGGGCAGGTTATGTGCCAGGAGGCTGAGTGAGCCCGCCGGGTCACAGAGAGCCTCAGGGCCAGCCATCGGCTTCTGCACTGTGTTTACAGCAATGTCCTGGGGACATCAAACAGCCCCTCTGTGGGCAAGCTCTCCTGGCTGATGGCCTGCTCGACTGGGGGAGGCTCCTCCTCAGGGCCAGCCCAGGGAACCCCTGCAGATTCCGAAAGAAGCGGCTCAGAGGCAGGGGTCCTCCTAGGACCTCAGGGACCCCCGACCCCCAGACACAGGAGGCTGCGTGGGGGCATGACAGCCCCAGCCCCTGGCCGGGGCACAGGTTCTGCCCACAGCCCAGAGTCAAAATGGTAGACAGCCAGCAGAGAGGCTCTCCCCAGACCCCACGGCTCTCTGGAAAAGGGCGGCCAGGGGTCCTAGAAGCCTCACCCACCTCCGAATGAATGGAGCATGCCTCATTTCCTCTTCCACCAGGAGCTGGCTCTGCAGGCTGGGGCCTCATCAGGCACCTCCTGGTCTTAGTTGAGGGTCTGAGCGCAGAGCTCCCCCTTGGCAGCCACCCAGAGCCCTCCCGCTCCTCTCCCTGCACCTCCTCAACGGCCCCTACTCCCTCTTCCTCAGCCTTGGCAGGCAGACAGCAGGGAGGCTCTGCCCAGAGCTGTGACCTGCGTCCCACTTACAAGGCTGCTGGGGGAGGGGCCCTCACAACGGTCCCAGCAGGGAGGTGGCATCTGTCAGGCGGCCACGACTCTGACACGAGGACAGCCTCCTGCTGCCTGAGCCCAGCGTCGGCCCTGCTCTCCACAGGTCTTGGTTGGGGTCCAGGCTGAATGGGCAGAGTGCAGGCAGCTGCGCCCAAATCTACGTCCAGACGGCCTCAGGGCGGCTTCTCTGAACAGGGAGGCGGGAAGGTGGGCAAGGCCCGAAGGCAGGCAGGACGCGAGGGCAGGGCCAGGCGTGGGGCAGCAGGACTGGATGCCACAGAAGGGCACCCAACAGGGGCTGGCTGGGGACGGGGCATGGGCCGCAGGTCAGGAGGGACTGCTGTGCACAGGGTCCTGGGCCGGGGGGTCTCCCTGGAGGAGGGCGGGGGCTGCAGCTCCCACCACACAGCACAGTTCCAGCGGGGGCCCAGGCAACCTCAGTGCACCCAGGAGCACCTCACGGACTCGGCCGGGGAAAGCGCTCTCAGCTGACACTCAAAGCAGAAACCCTGGAGGGAAATTTGGCCAAATTCAAAATGACTCCAGAGAAACACCGTATGTAACACACAACCAGTCCAATCCCAAGGGCACGGGGTCCCCAGGAGGCAGAAAAGGGAACCAGGTCCGAGGAGGACAGCAACCACAGGGCTGCCAGGAAACACTGGCCCACGGCGGGAGAAATGGCGGCAGAGCAAATGTGAGCAAAGGAAACCACGCTCCTCACAGCGGCCAGACGGCCGGCGCTCAGCAGCCCACCCGAGCTGGTGAGGGGAACGTGGGCAGCCCGTGGCAGGCTGCAGAGGAAGCAGCATTCGCCCCAGGAGTGAACTGGAAGTGCCAGCCCGGGCCAGCTGGGTCAAGGCCCACTGCCTGAGGCTGCCAGCTCGTGCTCTACCTGCAGCCATCACCTGCAGTGGGAGAAGCCGGAATCCCCTAATCACCTCCAGCAAAGCAGCAGATAAGCACCTTGTAGTTCAACCCAGGAGGCGCAGCTTAAGAACAGCCTCGAACCCACGTGGAACGTCTCTCAAGTCAGATTGGGCAGGAGAGCAACTTGCGAAAGCTGGGTCACAAGACACCACTTACGTGAACTTCCTAGACACAAGCCTGGCAACAACAGGGGCTGGCGAGTCCTGGCAGGCTGGGCCTCCCTTGCCCCCGAAGCTGCTCCCCGCCCACCTACTGGTGGCTGCCCCTGCACCCCGGCGCCCACGTGCCTGCTCCCGCGTGAAGTTCTTGTCGGGCCCCAGGAGGGAGGGCGTGATGAAGCTCTCCCCGGGCCTCTCCTGCAGCCAGAGGGGCTGAGATCGGGGGCCCCACCAAGTGGCAGGTGCGCAGAGCACCTGCACCCATCGTCCCTCTGATGATATCCAAGGCCTGGTGGAATGGCTTAATTTCTGGAATCTACTTTTTAATCCGTTAATGTACAACATGAGAGGGCAGGCAGATGGGATTTAAACATTTTTGCTCTAGAGACTTTTCTTATTTTGTTATTTTAAGGGAAACGCCACACATAATGCTCACCCCTATAAATAACCTTGGCGGTGGACAGTGGCCCTCCACTAAGAGCAGAGATGCCATCTGGTCAGTGGGTGGCAGGGAGAGGGACGGACTGGCCAGGAGCAGAAGGCATTTCATGAGGGGTCAAGGAGATGGCTCCGCCGCTCCAGCCCCAGCCCCGCCACCGACAGCCGGAGCCAGGGCAAGACCCTGTCCTCGCCTAGAAAGTGACCCAGCCTGGCGGTTAGCAGTGCTGGCCGTGGGACGAGACACAATCACACCGCACGGTGCTCTGAGCTGGGCACGCGGGAAGGGCAGCACCTCCACTGTCCCAATAGCACACTCCTCAGCTGCACATCAGTTTCACAATTCTAGGGTCTGGGAGGGTTGGGGTCCGGCTTCCGGCCAGGAGACACAGGGAACAAGAGGCATGCCGAGCGTCAGCCATGTGGGAGCAGAGGACGGGGTCAGCGGCTGGGATGGGCAGGTGAGCAGGCCCAGGGCCCTGGGATGGGGTGTCGGGGTGACCAGCTGGGCCGGCAGCCTGTGAGAGCGCTTTTCCAGGCTCTTCCTGTGCAGATGTGCCTTATGGACAAGGACCCCACAGCTCCAGGAGGAAACTGCTTCGGATACGGCCGCTCCCGCCTCCACCGCTCATGTGACCTGAGAGACCCGTGACTGGGCATAAGCCTATTAGAACAGTTTCAATAAGACCCTTTGTCCTCATGGCTGAGTAAAATGAAAATTCCTTCAATAATCTCTTTAGGTAAATAGCCACTAAGTCTCTGTGGAAGGCAGGTGCCCAGCAGGGTTGGACGTGGGCTTCCTCACCAGGAGGGCCGATGAGCACGGCCTGGCGGGTGGGGTGGGGCAGGCTCTCTCTCTGCAGGACACAATATCACTTTTTATCTAGCCTGGTTACTAGGCCGAAGCCAGGCCCCTCCATCTGATGGTGCCCGCTGCTGGGAGTGTGAGACCCCAGCCGGGTTCCCTCCAGGACCATATTATCAGCTGACACGGCCACTCACCCGCTCCAGCCTCAAGTGCTCACACATCCAACAGGAAAAGCGCCCTGGCCCCTGAAGCTGCTCCCCGCCCACCCATAGGCGGCCGCCCTGGCACCCAGCACCCACGTGCCTATTCCAGAAGCTGCTCCCCGCCCACCCACAGGCGGCCGCCCAGCACCCCGGTGCCCACATGCCTATTCCAGAAGCTGCTCCCCGCCCACCCACAGGCGGCCGCCCGGCACCCCGGCACCCACGTGCCTATTCCAGAAGCTGCTCCCCGCCCACCCACAGGCAGCCGCCCTGGCACCCAGCGCCCACGTGCCTATTCCAGAAGCTGCTCCCTGCCCACCCACTGGCGGCCGCCCCCGCATCCCGGCGCCCACGTGCCTATTCCAGACGCTGCTCCCCGCCCACCCACCCACAGGCGGCCGCCCGGCACCCCGGCACCCACATGCCTGCTCCCGCGTGAAGTTCTTGTCGGGCCCCAGGAGGTAGGGGGTGATGAAGCTCTCCCCTGGCCGTATCTGCGCCATGAAGCCGTAGAAGCAAAGGTAGCACACGAGGTGCCGCCAGGACCGGAGCTCGGGGTCAGGCCCAGGTTCCACGGGCACCTGCTTCTCCACCGCTGGGCTGGAGGGCACCATCCTGCTCAGGCCACGTGCAGCTCCGGAGGGGACGAAGGTGACGCTGTGCCTGGAAGGAGGGGTGGAGTCAGGGCACCTTGGAAGATGGTCTGCAGGCCTCCCTACCCCGCAAAACGAGGCCCAGTGCCGGCCTCCTCGCCACTCAGGACCAAACGCCACCCTGGAGACGAATGCAGACCCCAGACCCATCCTCACCCCGTAGCACCAAACTGGGAGCCACCCACACCTGAGCTGCTCCGGAGTCCCCCAGGCCAGGCTGTCACCACCTCCAGGGTCTCCGAGGCTGAGGGAAGTCTCCAGCCACATGGAGTGATTTAAGTGCCAATCAAAACCAAGTTAATTAACTAATTGACTTACTTTATTAACTAAACTAACAAAATTTAGGGTTTGGGGCCACACTAGACTCATGGCACTGCTGGGCAGTACCTGTGGCGGTCAGGGGGCACACCTCACCCCACAGGCCTGAGGGCAGCCCACGTGCCTGCTGCTGCTCTAGCGGCACCCAGGTGGCCCAGGGAGGGCACAGGCAGGAACGGACGCTGCTGGAGGCCGGGGTCACACCACAGGTGGCCAGCGGCGGGTGGCTGCAGGTACCAGCCTCAGGTCCCCATCAGCCGCGTGCCCTGGCAGGAGGGCGTGCAGGCCAAGCCCACAGTGAGGGAAGGGCAGAGGGAAAAGCAGGTGTCCTTGAGGGGGCTGAGAGCAGCCAGGGTTGAAACACGCGTGGGAGGGAGGATGGGATGGAGCCGAGGCCCAGCCCCTGAGCCCAGGGACCCCAGCATCCCCGGCGGCAGGTTACCCTAGACGAAAGCAGCTGGCAGGAGCCATGAGTGGACCTGACACGTTCCAGATGGAGCACCCCAGACCACAGGACTTCATCCACGAGGCAACATGCACCCAACCTTGGGGACCATCCCGCCAGCACCCCCGCCCCACACGGCCAGGGCACGTGGTGGAGCAGCAGCAGCACGAAGCACACTCGAGGGCGTGTCTCTTTCAGTCCTGATTCTGCCCAGGAGAAAGGCTCCTCCGGTGCGGGCAAGGGCACGTCTCACCACCACAAATCGTGCCTTTCAGCTGCGGGGCAAAAGCCTGTCCACTTATCAGAATCATGTCTCCAGGTGCCACGTGGCCCTGGTTTTCCATTAAGGCCTCGGTGTAAAGTTCTCCTTCAAGTAAGTCAAAAGTGAACTGCCATAAACAAGTGTGTCAGACGCCCACACCAAGCCAACCCCGTGAGGCCAGGACCTGGCCCTGGTCCCCCACAGGTGCACCTCACGTCTGTATCAGCTGACCTCTGCTCCCGGAGGCCAGGCCTGGCAGAGTGCACGTGGAAAGGCCATCTGCTGCTCAGGTGGGGTGGGGATGCAGCGCATGCAGAGGGCAGCTGAGCAGCCTTGTGGGGCGGGGTCGCCGTCCCATCTGCACTGGGCTGACAGTTGGACAATTGTGCCTCGCCACAGGGCCGGCTTGGGAGGGTGGCAGGGGGTCTGCAGAGGGTCTGGATTTGAGAAGTCTCCTCCAACCCTCCAGCAGGGGCTCAGAGCATCCCTCGATGTGGGGCCAGCTTTGGGGGTCCAGGGACCCCTAGGAAAATCTGCCCCAGGCTCTCAGCATTCAGTCTTCACGTATCAGAGACCACTCAGGCTGGAAGTGCTCCCTGAACCGCCCCCAACCTGACACACAGGCTTAGGAAAAAGGTGGCCTTCAGGGACCAGAGAGAGAGACCCTCCCCAGGCCACTTAGGCAAAGCCATCAGCATCATCTGGGGTCCCGTCTTGACACCTCTACACACTCATGTCTGTGACAAAGGAACATAGGTGATGGCAGGGAAGCCCTTAAGAGGCAGAGGCTGGTGGGCTTGCAATGGGGGCCGCAGGGAAGAGGGGGAAGGGTTAGGGGAACCTCGAGGTTTCCGGAGCTCCACGGCAGGGCACAGCTGGGAAGAAGATGGGACCAGCACCCTCCATTGGAGGCAGCCAGGACCCTAGAAGTTCTCAAAGGGCCAGGATGAAAACAGCCGGCCAGGCAGGAGGAAGCGCAGGCAGGGGCCACTGCCAGGCCGAGGCAGATCTGACGGTCGCCTGCCTCGGCCTCACCTTCCATGCCTCCTCAGGGCCTGTCAACAGCTGGGAAGATCAGTGCACAAAGGTTGGGCTCCATCACCAGGGACCCTGATGCCCAGAGAGGCCACGGGTAGAGCTGGACATACCTCAGACCGCACCCACTCCTCCCCACTGGGAGACCCATTTGGCCCTGGGACTCCCTGTCAAGTTCACTTTCCCACCTGTCAGCAGGTTTAGACAGGCGCACCGATCCCCAGACAACCAGAGCAACCAGATCGCCGCAGACAACGGGGAGCCATCAGGAGCTGAACTAAGCCCAGGGTCTGCGCCCACAGTCCATGGCCGCAGGAGTCAGATCCCCACCCACAGGACCCCCAGGGGCCCGGGAGCCCTGGGTACTTGGGCCCCCTGTTCTGAAAGGTGCCACCTCCAGAAGCGACCAGAACATTCCTTCCTTGGAGAGACAGCCAGAGTCTCCGCCAGCAAGGGGCTGCTGCTGGTCTTAACAGTCAGCCTCTGCTGCCAGCATACTCAACTTATGTGCCGTGAACGTAGCCCACTGACAGAGGCTTGGCCATCACGGCCCAGACCACCTCCAAGAGGAAAGATAGGGAACTTGGTCACCATCATAGAAACGCAGCCCCAAGCCAGGGGACGCCTAGACTCCAAGTGTCCAGACCCCAGCCCAGTCCCATACAGCTTGAGGCCTCTTCCCGGCATCTGAAGGAAGTCCCCGACCAGACAGGAGGGCCACGGGGAAGCAGAGAGAATCCCTGCCTTCAGGAGAAGGTTGTAACAGCCCCTGCAAATCCCCGGCCCCACTGTCCACAGTGACCAGCCCCACCCAGGCCCTGTCCTTCCAAGCACCAGAGAAGGCCAGAGACCCGCAATCAAAACACAAGCAAACGCCACCTATCATTCCGTGTTTAAACCAGCTCCTACTCTGGAAGGCTAACCAAGAATGTTCGTTATGTTTTTTAGAACGCCTGCTAGTTTAAAAAGAAGAAGAAGAAAGCATTGCACACCCTCCCACCCCTGTTCAGATGACCAAGTTCAGGGTTCCTAACAGCATAATTAGACCCTCCGGCTATCACTGCTGCAGGCCCAAACACCCGAGAAGCACTCTTTCTCATCTGTGTCCAGCAGAGATAACTGTACTATCTGGAATTATAAAAATCCACCAAAGCCCCTTCGGAAAGAAAGCAATTAGCAATTGCAACAAGCAGTGCACAGGTGGCACCCAGGCAAAGGCGGCCAGTGAGATGCAGCCTGGCTCCCAGGCCTGGACAGGGCAGGCAGGTGCACTGGGCCAGAGGCACCTCGGCTCTGCTGATTGAATCTGGGCTGTGCGGGGATCCTCGGGTCTCCGTAGGGGGAGGCCACCTCTTTACAGGGCGGCCAACAGGCGCCTCCAAGGACTTTATCCCACCTTCCCTCTGGATGCATTCTGGATTTCGGGGCCAGCTTAGTTGGCCTGTGTCCTGAGGCCAGGCAGGCCAGACTCCCCAGGACAGGAGTTTCCGATGGACAGGACCCTAGGGGGATGGCTTTCCTGCTGTAGCGGTGTTGGAAGGACCCACTCGGGAAAGGCTCCAGCGGCTGTCCAGGCTCTCTCTGAGACGCCTCGGGATTGCTCCGCTGGATCCGCACCCACAGCTGCTCCAAGGGGAAGTTGCACCTACAAAGCTTCTGGCACAGGAGACAATGGTCTGGAGATGTGCCAGGGGCCCGCCCCACGCGTGGCTGGCAGGGTTCACCCACCGGCTGGCCCGTCCCGAAGCAACACGTGCCTGGGCGCGAACGCCGGATCCACGCTTTCCTCCAGACCCGGGGGTGGGACTTGGCGCCCCAGGATGACGCGGAGGGCAGGCTGGGGGCCGGGACTCCCCACCCCATTCGCAGGCTGCGGCGGAAAGCGAGCGGCGGGAAACCCGCTGCACAGCAACGGTTCTGCCAGGCGCCCGGGCCACCGCGACCCCCGCGGAGACCCCGGCCCACGCCCCGCACCCTCCCCAGGGCCCCCCAGACCCCAGGCTGCAGACCGCAGACCCCGGCCACGCCCCGCACCCTCCCCAGGGCCCCCCAGACCCCAGGCTGCAGACCGCAGACCCCGGCCCACGCCCCGCACCCTCCCCAGGGCCCCGCGGACCCCAGGCTGCAGACCGCAGACCCCGGCCCACGCCCCGCACCCTCCCCAGGGCCCCGCGGACCCCAGCGCCAGCCCCCACACTCACCTCACAGGGCCCTGCAAACCTCGGCCCGCGCCCCGCACTCACCCCAGGGCCCCGAGACACCCCGCAGCCCCCGACACGCGGCCCCGTGGCCCCGTTCCCCACCGGTACCTGCGACTCGGCGGGGCGGCTGCCCTGGGGCTCCCGGACCCGGCCCCGCGCACGCGGACTCCGGGACTACAGCGCCCACAAGGCGGCGCGGCGGGCGCGCGGCTGCGGGGTGGGCGGGTCCGTCCCGCCGAACGCGTCCTGAGGGCGGGGCCTCGCGCGTGGCCGGGCGCTGCGGCAGGAGCGTCCCCACGGGGCACCCTCCCACCCACGGCCGTCTCCCAGCCCCGGCGCCGGCCTCTCCCCACCCGGTCACCGCCGGGGTCACGCGGCCCCTCGTGCTGCGGCCCTACCCCTGGGGCCGCCCCCTGACCCCGACCGCCCCTCGGGCCCCCACCCCCGCCGGCGTCAGCATCCTGGGGTGCCACTCGCGGAGGTGTCGGTCCCTCGGGCGGGCACCCTGCCATCCCTCTCCCCCGCGTTCTTCCCACCCCCGGTCCCCTCCTGACCCCCCCTCCTCGACGAGGCCTTGTGCGTTTTCCTTTTGGCACCCTGGAACACCTGCATTCCTGGCCGCAAGCTGGATCCGGGACGCGGGTCGGGCCCACGCGCCCTCAGGGGTGGCCCTGGGCCGCCTTCGTGGGGCTCCAACAGGGACACGCACAGCCTGCTCTTGGGGACCGCACGGCCCCGAACTCGGCGCCCCCGGGACCCCGCCGCCCGCCCTCCTGCCTGACCGTGACCCGTACGGGCTTGTACCAAGGAGCAAGCCGGATCCAGGACGTGGCCCGGGGCCACCAGTCCCCATCCCAGCAGGGACAGCCCGGGGGAGACCCGCGCAGGCCTCGCAGACGGCAGCGCAGTCACACTCAGGAAGGGGGGCCTGGGCCACTCTCCCAGGAAGGCGTGGGGCTGCGGCAGACAGCACCGCCGAAAGCCCAAGGCCTGTGCAGGACACGGGGAGAAGTGGGGGGCCTCAGGGTCACTTTCCCCTGGAGTTACCCAGGGCCTGGCTATGGGGAGGGAAGCCAAGCCGAGGGCTGTGGGGGCCCCAAGGCTAAGGAGGAGCCAGGAAGTCCACTGCACAGAACAGAAGGGGACGGCCACCGTGGTACCCACAGCTCAAGAGTGCGGGTCCCAGGCGAGGGGTGAGTCTGGGGCAGCAGCCCCTGGAATGTACCCCTTCCGGAGTGTAGACAGCACAATCCGCGACCTGCCTCCTGGTGTTGCGGGGGTGCTCTTGGTCTCCCGCCCACCAGCAGGGCAACCCCACCAGGAAGCCAACACAGGGCCCTTGCCCTAAATGGCCGCCTGCCCAAAGCTCTGGCCTGGGCCTTCTTTCCAGAGTCCTGAGTGTAGCAAGCCACACGAACAAATCTCAAAGGAACTTAAAAAGGATTTGTTGGCTGGAAATGGGGGATCTGGGGTAGCTTGCAGAATTTAAGGGAACACTACAGGATGGAGCGCCTCACCTGGAGGGACCCCCTGCTTTGTGGGAGCCCTGGCTCTCTCCCCTGTACTGGCCTTCTCCACGGGTGGGCAGAACCTGGCCCTGCTGGAAGACAGGAGGGGCAACGCGGAGGAGGAGGGGCCCTTCCTTCCCTCCAGGCAGAGAGGAGCCAGCCATGGGGCCAGCTCGCCAGGGCAGCCTGCTCCCTTTACACGCAGGACAGGCCAGGAAGCCGAGGGGAAGTGGGGATGAACAGCAGCGGGGCTCCTAGACCCCTTCCCACAGAAGGATGGCTCCCACCCCCTTCCCGCCTGGAGACAGCAAGGCAGGGAGCCACAGCCCCAAGGGGACCCCGCAGGACCCACAAAGACCAGTCCCTCACCTGTCTCTCCGGTCAGGTGTAGCCGAGCGAATCCGCCCCCGGCCGCGAGGGGCCTGCCCAAGCTGCCCTCGGGTCCCCCTGCGTGGCAGGAGTCCTGGGAGTTCCCCAGCCACACAAGGCCCAGGTTTCCTGCAGGAGCTGCTTCGGAGTGGGGAGGTAGGGCTTCTGCCACCAACAGCACTTGGCAGTTGTAATCTAGAGGCAGCTGCTCTGAGGGAAGAGCCAGGAGACTCGTGAAGAACTTACAGAAACCTCCATTGAGGACTGCGAGGAGTGGCCACAGACAGTGGGGCGTGGGCTTCCAGAGGGCTCCACCCAAAATAGAGATTTACAAACGCAGGTGACTTGGGAGTGACACTGGCATCTGGGAATGGATCCTGTGCTTGGGCCCTCACGAGCCTCCAGCGGTCCCCGTCCTTGCGTGTTTCATTATCGGTTTGTCAAATAGTTAAGTGCCTGAGCGTCAGGGATGGCAGGGAGAGCTGGTCCCTGGGAGAAGCCCTGGGTTGGAGGGATCAGCAGGGGCCCAGCAGTGTGGATCCCGGCCCTCCAGCCTGTAGGCTCCAGCCATATACAGTGATGTCTGGGGGCTGCAGGCCGCAGAGACCCCTTCCCCTCCTGGAGGGGCTCAGGTGGGCTCTGCAGCCCACCCCACAGCAGTGCCCCATCCCCAGCTCCTGGGCCCCCACTCCCCGGCAGCCTTAGCACCCATAGTCCAGGCCCAAGAAATCTCTGCCAGAGAATGAGGACCCTGCCCACCCACTGCCTTCTGAGACCAACCGGCCAGTCCTCTGCCTTGGCTGGAGAGACGCAGGGCTGTCCCTGTGGTTAAGGTCCCCGTCAGCATAGGGAGGCAGTGGCATTCGAGCAGCCCTTTCCCTCAGCTGGTGCTGTTGTGGTGGCTGTGGCTCTGGAAGCAAGGCTTGGACCAAATGCTAATACATGGACACACATGCACAGAGACACACAGATCCATGCAGACGTGCAGAGACGTGCACATGCAGATGGACACAGACATGCGCAGACACGCACACACACTGATGTGGTTTGGATTCTCTGTCCCCTCCAAATCTCATGTTGGAATGTGATTCCCAGTGTTGGAAGTGGGGCCTGGCGGGAGGTGTTGGATCATGAGGACGGATCCCTCATGAATGGCTTAGCACCATCACCTTGGTGATGAGTGAGTTCTTGTTCAGTTAGCTCACTCAAGAGCAGGTTGTTTAAAAGAGTCCGGGACCCCCCCCTTGCCCTCCCCTCCTCCCACTCTTGCTATGTGACGCTGGCTCCCCGTCACCTTCCACCATGTGTGGAAGCTTCCTGAGGCCTCACCAGGAGCAGATGCTGGCACCATGCTTCCTGTACAGCCTGCAGAACCGTGAGCCAATTACACCTATTTTCTTTATGATACCCAGTCTCTGTGTTCCTTTATAGCAACACAAAAACAGCCCCCCTCATACGTACACACACGTACAGACACCACCAAGACATATGCACAGATACAGAGACGTAAACATACAGACATACACATGACACAGAGATACAGAGACATACACATGCATGCTCCCGTGCAGACGGCACCCCATATGCAGGAAGACGGGCGCGGACCGGCCTGCCATGCCCCAGCATGTGCAGTGAACTGGCCTGCACATGGCCTCAGCCAGTTTTTCCTCCCACATTTCCAGACGTCTCCCCAGTCTCACCTTGCTGAATGACAGGTGCTTCTGCTCCCATCTGAATCTGCTTGGTAGAGGTGCGGTGCGCCCTGTAAATGCCTTACCTGGCTTGCTGGCCAGTGGGTCTCTGCTGCAGCTGCCCCTCTCTCCAGCCCCCACTCCCGCCAGGCCTTCGCCCCCACTTTTTCCACGAGCTGACCTCCTAACACTCCCAGCGGCCAGGGGTAGCCCATCACAAGGGCCTAGGGGCCCAAAGGTCTGGAGAAGGGGGACTGACATGGATGCCCCTGTGTCAGGCCTCCCAGCACTAGCCCCAAGCCCAGGCCTGCCTGCAGCTGTGGCCCCCATCCTCTCAGAGGCTGAGCCGGGCCACCGTCCTCAGCACCTTGTCTGTGAAGCCAGAAGCCAGAAGCCCTGTGGCAGCTGAGCGGAGAAGCAAAGCCCAGAGGAAGAAGCGTTGTCCCTGGCCTGCCTGGAGCCCCGGAGCTCCTGGCTTCCGCATCCCCCAAGTGAGCGCAGGTCCCTCACAGCCTGTCACAGCCCCACAGCAGTGGGGCTAACCTGGGCCTGTGCCTGCCACACTTCTTCCCTGGAAGGGTGTCCCACCTGGTCCTCTGGGCATGGAGTTGAATTCTGAGCCCCACTGGGGCCCCGGACAGCGGCCCTAGCAGGCCCAGCCCCTCCCAGTTGAGCCCTGCCTGGCCCAGCAGCAGAACACTGAATCCCGATGCCCCCAAGTCTCCCTATAGCCAGACTTTCACAAAATCATGCTTAAATAGCCCATCTTTACTAGGGAAAGGGGGAGGTTTGAACCTCTTTGGAATCACAGGCAGCTGTTTAGAATAATGTCATCTAACGAAAGAGTGTTCGAAAAACATTAAAATAACCAGTGGAAATCTGGCCTACTGCAAGGTGGAGTTTGAAGCCTACACTGCCTGGTCCTCATTTCCAGAACTTGGAGGTGATAACCCTCCTGCCCACAGGTGGAGTGATGTCCGGCTACAGGAACATCCTGCGGTCGGAGGAGGTTTGCATCAAGCTCCGCCACAATCACAGGCATGCATCTTGGTTGCAAGCAAGCTATCCGAGAAACCTAAGCGTGACATTAGAAGACAAAATGATTGGGAAGGAAGCGGCAGAGTCTCTGTTCACAGATGATGCAATTGTCAGGGCAGTAAATCCTAACAGGTTATCAAAAATACTAGAAATAAGGGCATTTAGCAAGGTCATGAGATACTAAGTCTATATACAAAAGTAATTGTACTTCTATAATCTAGCAACAAATAATTGGAAGACAGAATTTGAAAAACAGTATTTACAACGCCAATGAAAATCAGAAAATATCTAAGAATGCATTTAATGAAAAATGTGTAAGTTCTCTATACCGAAAGCTGCAGAACATTACTGAGAGAAATTAGTGAAGAGCTAAACAAATGGGGGAGACAGACCTTGTTCATGGATTGTGTAAACCAAAAATAAACTTCTAAGCCCCCAACCGTCTGAACAGACCACTCCTCTGGGCAAGGGCATTCCAAAGTTAACCTGAAAAACTGGTTCAGGCCATGAGGGGAAGGGAGGGATGGATACTCGTCATTATACCTGACCCCCTTTTGGAATTCAGGGAAAGCCGACCAACTTTCAACGTCAACACAGACCTTAAGTCTGATAAGAATCATTTAGAATCTAGTCTTTGAAGCCTGCGACCCAGAGACTTCATCTGCTGCTAAAACTTTGATCTCCACAACCCCTTACTTAACCTAGACATCCCTTTCTATTGATAATAACTCTTTCAACCAATTGCCAATCCCGACATGTTTAGCTTTACCTGTAACCTGGAAGCCAGCCCCCACCAGGTTGTCCCACCTTTCCACACCAGAGCAGTGTATATCTTACATGTATTTGATTGGTGTCTCATGTTCCCTTAAATGTATGAGACCAGGCTGTGCCCAGTCACCTTGGACGCATGTTTTAGGATCTCCTGAGGGCTGCGTCAAGGGTCATGGTCACTCATATTTGGCTCAGCATAAATCTCTTCATATATTTTACATAGTTTGACTCTTTTCATTGACAATTGGAAGGCTCATTATTAAGGTGAACATTCTCCCCAAATTGATCCATAGATTCAGTGCAATCCAACAGAGATCTCACAGGCTTATTTCTTAGAAATTGAAATGTTGATTCAGAATTGAGATGGAAATGCAAAAGACTTACAATAGCCAGAACAATTGTGACTAAGAAAAGTGACGTCGGAGAGCTCAGAGATATGGAGACCAAGGGAAGCTGGTGGAGTCCGGCAATAGGACCACCCACATGGACCACAGATTTCCAACAAGGGTGTCCACGTAATTCATTTGGGGAAAGGGTGGTCTCTAGATCACATAGTTCAAGAACAGCTGGATATCCACAGGGGAAGATGAACATCAGACTTTATCACGTCCCTTTCACAAACACTAATTTGAGACCCAAACTAAAAGCTAACCCTGTCAAACTTGTAGATCTGTGTCCAGTGACACAGGAAGCAAACAAAATGCCACACCTGGGAGGAAACATTCATATTCCTTGTATCTGATACAGGACTTGTATCCAGACACGTAAGTGACGCTTACAACTGAGTAATAAGAAAATAGCCCACTTCTTAAAACACACAAAAGAGGCCGGGCGCAGTGGCTCACACCTGTAATCCCAGCACTTTGGGAGGCCGAGGCAGGTTGGTCACTTGAAGTCAGGAGTTCAAGACCAGCCTGGCCAACATGGTGAAACCCCACCTCTACTAAAAATACAAAAATGAGGCTGGTGTGGTGGCGGGTGCCTGTAGTCCCAGCTACTCAGGAGGCTGAGGCAGGAGAATTGCTTGAATCTGGGAGGTGGAGGTTGCAATGAGCCGAGAGCTCACCTCTGCACTCCAGCCTGGGCGACAGAGTAAGACTCTGTCTAAAAAAATAAATAAATAAATAAATATATGCAAAAGATTTGAACACTTAAATAAGACGTGAAAATGTACCTAATATCATAAATATCATAATCCTTTGTCATTAAGGCCTGAAGTACCAAACCACTCCTACTATAAAGGCTAAAATTTAAGAAGCTGACAATACTAAGTGTTGACAAGGCTGTGGAGTAGTATATGGGGATGTGAAATGTTACAAACACTTTGGAAAACAGTGGGGCAGCTTCTTGTGGAGTTTAACACGTGTCTACTTTATGAACCACAGTTCCACTCCTAGGCATCTGTTGAAGAGATGTGAATGCATGATCCCACAAAAGCCCATGCACAGGGGTTGTACCCTGTTCTCATGTAACTGCTAAAAACTGGCAACAACCCGAATATCCATTATGGGATGAAGGATAAACACGCAGTACATCCACATAACAGGGACTACTCAGACTAAAAGGAAATAACAACTGAGTGAGTCTCAGCACCCTCGTGCTGGAGGGGCCAGAGTCCAGCCTGGGAAAGTCCATCTGTAGGGGAGGGAGGCTCCGTCCTGGAAGGAGGCAGGTGAGCAGGTGCCTGTGGTGGAGGCTCGGGGTCAGTGGAATTGTTCTGTGTCTGATGGGGGTAGAGGTTAATGGTTGTGTTCATCTGTCAGACATGTTTAACAACTGCTTCTAATGGGTGCAATTTATGGCATGTGAATTGCACCTCGATAAAATTGTTTTTTAAAAGCCTGCACTGCTGGAAGTGGGGGAAAGGCCTGGAAGCAAGTCGAATGCTCCAAGCCCTCTCGTGTCTCTTGGGAGACAATCCAGGCCTCAGTTGGTTACAAGGGAGAACCCAGAACAGCCTCAGCCTCGGGAGAAAAGGGCAGTGATGTGGCAGGGGAGGGGCAGGGGGACAGGTAGTGGGTGGTGGGGAGGGGGACAGGTGGTGGGGGAGGGGCAGGGGGAGAGGTGGTGGGTGGTGGGGAGGGGGATAGGTGGTGGGGGAGGGGCAGGGGACAGGTGGTTGGTGGTGGGGAGGGGGACACTTGGCGGATTGTGGGGAGGAGGACAGGTGGGGGGTGGTGGACGGTGGGGAGGGGACAGCTGGGCGCACACTGTGGCTCTTGGTTGCAGATGGGGTACAGGTCCAGTATGCTCCAGCCACGTAGGTCTCCATGTGACCTCCTTCACATCTTGTCCCCACAGAGACCCTCATCTCTGCCCCTTCTTAGCCCCAGGGCAGCCCTCCCAGGCTGCAGAGCCCCGAACTCTCTGGCATCTTGGGAACTGTCTCTCCCCGGCCAGGCTGGCACATGCGGATGTTGCAGCATTGGCCAAAAGTGGACAGTGGGGGTCAGTGTGGGGTACCGCCCACCCCATCCCAGCCCCTCCTGGGCTGCTGTGCATCCTGCTCCTGCCCACCCAGCCCAGGCTGGCACCTCCTCCTGGTCTCTCCCACACCCCATGCACCGCCCTGGTCACTTCTGTGGTTTGGGGTGTTTCCCTCCTGGGGAGGCGCCTCCTGCCTGATGAGACCTCTGAGCCCCAAAGGGTCACATGAGACTGTGTCCCCAGGTGGCAGCTGTTGGTTCTCTCCAGCCCCCACAGACACCTCAGGCCCTCGTATGCCAGACCGCTTGGAGATGGGGTCTTCTGTGCTCCCTTCTTCCCATGGGCCACCTGCCACCCCGTCCACAAGCACAAGTGAACGTTTCCACGTGGAAAGGGCTGGTTCTCCAGCTGGAATTTCCTTGACTACACGGTCTTATTAGATCCAGAATGGAACTGCATGAAATAAACAGGGAGATTTGGGCAGGATGGAGCTCAGTTCTCCCAGCCAAGGGGAGACCACAGCCAGCTCTCCATTCACGGTTCAGGATCACAGCAGCCCCGCCGGGAGGCTTGGCCTTGCAGGCCCCGGGCTTCCGTGGTTTTGTTGCATGCAGATTTCGTCGTCTTCTTCTGAATGTTTCAGTATTCATGTGTTCCTGGATGACTGGCGTTCCCTCTCAATTTTCACACGCAGTAGTGCAGGGGCGTGCAGTCTGCAGACCCCTCTCCTCTCCTCCACCTTCTCAACCTCCCTTACCTCCACACCCATCTCCCCTCCCTGCCTCCCTCCTCTGCCTTCCTCCCCTCTCCTCCGCCTTTCTGTCCCCTTCCCTCCCACCACCGCCCCCCACCCTCCCCCCGCCTCCCCACAACCCTTCCCCCACCCTCCTCAACCTTCCCAGCACTGGCCCCCGCCTCCATTCTCCTCCCCACAACACCCACTTCCTCCTCTACCTTCCCCCTTGTCTTAGTCCCTTTCCTGTTCTTCACAGTCCCAGCTACGCCTGGGTTGGTTGCACTCTCTGTTCCTCTTATTTTCTTTCAAGGAACTACCTTTTGGATCTAAAAACTCAAGTTTTACTTAAGAGGCTGAGGCAGGAGAATAGCTTGAACCCGGGAGGTGGAGGTTGCAGTGAGCCGAGACACTGCACTCCAGCCTGGGCGACAAGAGCGAGACTCCATCTCAAAGGAAAAAAACAAAAAAAATCAAGTTTTAATTGCTTTCCAATTAATTAATTTCTGCTTTTCTCATTATTTTTTCTTTTTCCTGTTGACTTTGTTGTTCCTTTCCTGTTCTAGTTTCTGAGTTAACTGCTATGTTCCTTTAATTTGAATAAAACTAGGAATAATAAACCATTTAATAATTCATTCCTCTCACGGGGCACCTTTGGCCAGGCCCATGGACGCTGTGTCACTACACTTGTTGCTGTCAGCCTCTACGTAGGACGTGATTTTTGCTTGATTTCCTCTTGGACTCATGACTCATTACAGAGAATGATTCAAACGTTTCCAGTAGGCAGATGTTGTTGTTTGTTGGTTTAATATGTCGTTTTATAAAGTTCAGATCAAAGAACGTGGCCTAAGCAGGTATTCATTTTGTGAAATTGTTTTGAGCTTCGATTTGTGGCTTGGTTTTGGGTTATGTTTTAAACTTTTTCATGGGCTTTCGAAAAATGCATATTCTCTATGCACATCGTGTTTTATATGAATAAAATCTAAATTGCAAATAGTGGGATTTCAATCTCTGATAGCCTCATTCATGCATTGTCTGGGGTATGTGTCAAGTTTGCCAGAGTGAAGGGCCCCGCCGTGACTGGGGTTCGCGCCTCCCTGCATGTCCACGCCTTTATGTCCGTACTTTAGGGCAGTGTGGAGATGGACCCACACCGCCTGCGTGTTCTGCCGCCACGCTGGCCTGAGACCTCGGCTTCCTGTGCGGCCTCCTTATGGCTGTTTCAGGTGCGTTCCTCAGAGCATGGGGTGGAATTTGCTTTTCTACAAAAGGTGTCTGCCCGAGTGTCTGACCCACTGTCTCGCCGCTCCATGGGGCTGGCTGTGTGGTGGGGACTGACGGCCTCCTCAGGAGGAGACAGTGATGACCCCAGGGAGTGGGTGAGGCCACTGTCAGACCAGAGAGATCTGCGATGGGCCAAAGAAGAGGCTGGGCTGCTGCTGCTGCATCTGTGTCTGCCCAGGGGAGCTACATCCTGGCCTCAGGACCTCCCTCCCAGCCTGAGCAGCAGGGGTCAGGCTGGTCCAGCTCTCAGGAGTGTCCCAGGGAAAGAACAAAACTGCCCTCCTGTCCACTCCAGGGAGACCCACAGGCTGTGCCACCAGCAGGCAGTGTGGACATCGGTGGCTGTTGGGTCGGGGGCCCCAGGGAGAGCCCCTGGGGAGAGCGACACCCACCCGGAGGCTCAGGCCAGGCCAGGACCGCAGCCCTCGAATGTGCAGAGACCCCGGGTCCTACCCAGGCCCGGGTCTCGGGACCACGTGGAGGAGGGATTAGCGCGTGCTATAATCCGCAGTCACCAGCAGAGCAGACAGCCTCTCGCCCAGAACAGGGCACCCGGGACAGCCCCAGCCCCAGCAGAGAGGGGCTGGTCTCAGCGAAGTGGAGCGGGTCTTAGTGGGTTGGGGCCAGTCTCATCCTGGCCCTGGGTGTGTCCCAGACCCCTAATGCGGAGCCTGCAGGTCATTCCTGGCCCATGAGTCTGACCTGACACGGGAGTCTCTGGGCTGGTCCGCCCGTCCACCCTGTCCCTGCGTTTGTGCTGATAGGAGGACACTGCTCAAAACACACGACGGCTGTGTGCTATAATCCACGGTCACCAGCAGAGCAGACGGCCTCTCGCCCAGAACAGGGCACCCAGGGCAGTGCCAGCCCCAGCTCTCCGTGGCGCCCCCCATGTGCTCACTTTTACACAAGACCTCGCGCAATGGAAGCTCTTCCTCCTGGCAAATCGCAGGGGGCAGATTCCACTAAAACAAGACTCCACCGGGCGGCAGGTGGCCAGGCTCAGGGCTGGGGCAGGACCGGAGCGGGGGCCTCGCTGGAGGCTGGGCCTGGAGGGCAGGGGCCTTTGCTGCCGTGGGTGCAGTTTTGTAAGCAGAGGCTGGGGCTGGGTCCTGCCCTGCAAGCTCTACTGGTCCTTCCAGGCACCGCGCATCCCTCCCACCGGCCTAAGGGGACGGGAGCCGCTGACCTTTAGGACCTGTGCAAGGGTCATGGTGCTGTGTGAAGGACACGACTCCAGGCCACATCCTCCCTCCAGCCCATGAGGGTCCCCGGGATAAAGTCCAGAGGAGCCACAGGGGACACGGCTCAGTGGGAGGCAGCCCGGCCCATCACAGTGCCAGCCCTAGGCCTTGCTGTTATTATTTTGTATTTTTTTTGTGGTAAAAGAGACATAAAATGTACCATGTTAACTATTTTTAACTGCACACTTCAATGGCATTAAGGACATTCACACTGTTGTGCGGCCGTCACCCCCATCATCTCCAGAACTCTTTCGTCCTGCAAAACTGAAGCTCTGCACCCAAGACACACTCACCCCCAATCCCCCCGCGCCCCCCTCCTAGTCCCCCCGCGCCCCCTTCCCAGTCCCCCACACCCCATCCCAGTCCCCCACGCCCCATCCCAGTCCCCCACACCCCCTCCCAATCCCCCACACCCCCTCCCAATCCCCCACGCCCCATCCCAGTCCCCCACACCCCCTCCCAATCCCCCACGCCCCCTCCCAGTCCCCCACGCCCCCTCCCAGTCCCCCACGCCCCCTCCCAGTCCCCCACACCCCCTCCCAGTCCCCCACACCCCCTCCCAGTCCTCCACGCCCCATCCCAGTCCCCCGAGCCCCCCTCCCAGTCCCCCGTGCCCCCCTCCCAGTCCCCCACGCCCCATCCCAATCCCCCATGCTCCCCCAATCCCCCGCGCCCCCTCCCAGTCCCCCGCGCCCCATCCCAATCTCCCCGCGCCCCCTCCCAGTCCCCCGCGCCCCCTCCCAATCCCCCCGCGCCCCCCTCCTAGTCCCCCCGCGCCCCCTTCCCAGTCCCCCACACCCCCTCCCAATCCCCCACGCCCCCTCCCAGTCCCCCACGCCCCCTCCCAATCCCCCACGCCCCCTCCCAGTCCCCCACGCCCCATCCCAGTCCCCCGCGCCCCATCCCAGTCCCCCACGCCCCATCCCAATCCCCCATGCTCCCCCAATCCCCCGCGCCCCCTCCCAATCTCCCCGCGCCCCCTCCCAGTCCCCCACGCCCCCTCCCAATCCCCCACGCCCCCTCCCAATCCCCCGCGCCCCCTCCCAATCCCCCCGCGCCCCCTTCCCAGTCCCCCACGCCCCCTCCCAATCCCCCACGCCCCATCCCAGTCCCCCGCGCCCCCATCCCAGTCCCCCATGCCCCCCCAATCCCCCGCGCCCCCCTCCCAATCCCCTGCGCCCCCATCCCACTTTCTGGCCGGGTCTGGCCACCGCGGGGCCTCTGAGTGGAACCACGCACAGGGGGCGTCCTCTTGTGCCTGGCCAGGGGCACTCAGCATCGTGTCTCCAGGTCCCTGCACGGGGCAGCGGCGTGGAAACTTCCTTTCAGGCCGGCGATCCTTCCTGTGTGCGTCTCCACATTTTGATTTTTCATTTATGGATGGACATTTGGACATCTCCTTCCGCTTGGCTGTGGTGACTAAAGCTGCTGTGCTATCATTTTTACTATTATTGTTATGACAAGTTGACAAGTGAATCTTTCTCTTACGGTTTCGGTTTTTCCCATCTTATTTGCTTTTAACTGTCCAGATTCATTGAGTCCCAGCAGCGGGCCCTGTTCCCGGCTTCAGTGGCGAGGCCCCTCGCCTTCTCCCCAGAAGCAGCCCCTTTGACGACATCGGTACTTTCGGTCCATTCCCTGGGTCGATGTTTCCAGAACCCCGCGCCCAGGAGCACGTCCAGGTTATGCGTGGGGCCGCCCTGTGCGCGCGCCTGGAGGCCTCGGGTTTCCCCGACGCAACGCGGGGAGTGGCCACCAGGGGGCGAGCGGCGCCCGGAGCCTCCGCGGGTCCCAGCCCAGCAGCCTCGCGACGCAGGGGGCGGTGCAGGGGGCGGCGGGGGCGGCGCAGGGGGCGGTGCAGGGGGCGGCGGGGGCGGCGCAGGGGGCGGTGGGGGGCGCCGGGGGGCGGCGCAGGGGGCGGCGCAGGGGGCGGCGCAGGGGGCGGCGCAGGGGGCGGCGCAGGGGGCGGCGCAGGGGGCGGCGGGGGCGGCGGGGGGCGGCGGGGGGCGGCGGGGGCGGCAGCGCTGCAGGTGGGGGTGGGGGTTGCAGGGGCGGCGGGGACAGTATGGGAGGCAGGGGCGGTGTGGAGAGCTGGGGGCCGTGGGGGGTGTTGGGGGCGGGAGGGGGATGGGGGAGGTTGTGGGGGGAAGGGGAACCGGCTTGGGTGGCCATGCAGGCGACGCGGGTTGCAGGGAACGGAGGTGCAGGGGGCGGCGGCGGGGGCGGCGGCGAAAGGGGACGGGCTTGCGTGGCCCCGCGCGGGGGCTAAGGGGCTGCAGGCCAACCCACCGTCCCGGGCACTTGGGACTCAGGAGGGCGGGGCGGGGCGGGGCGGCCCGCGTGGGGAGTGCCTGAGGCTGGCCTAGGCCCTGGGACCGTAGCCTCCCGAGCAGGGTGGGCTCCACGCGAACGGCGGGCGCTGGCAGAAAGCGACCCACGCAGAGTTCCGCGCCAGCCGAGGGGCCCGGCTGCCGCCCATGCGCGGTCCTGGAGGTGCCGGGAGGGGGTCGCGGACCCTGAGGCAGGATCCACGTGGTCCCTGCGGGCCCAGTGAGTGACATCACCGCGACGCTGCGCATGGAGCAAGCTCTACACCCGGGAGATGGCCACGGTGCGCATGCAGCAAGGTCTACTCCCGCGAGGTGACCACGGGACAGACGATCCTCTGAGGTTTCCAGGAAGACCCCCGCCCTAATCCTCTGAAGGTCGGAGGTCACAGGTCAAAGCCGAGAACAGAAGCTGGGGTGGGGCACACAGAGGTGGAAAGAGGGGCCTGAGCATCGGGCGGCCACCAGCAGGGTCCCCTCCTGGCCACAAGGACGCTCCCGTTCCAGTCCCCGGAAGAGGGTGGCTGCAGCCACCCCGGGGATGACCAGCAGAGGTCCTCACGGCCTGCGGCCCGGGGAGACCTGAGACTCCTAAGCTGAGCACGTCAGCGTCTCTACCTCCACCGCAGACAGAAAGACCGGGCGGACCCAAGACTGCAAGCTCAAGCCCTGGCGGCAGGGCAGCGGGGCCTGTGAGGGCCGAGGGTGGACGCTGCTCTGAGCCAGACCCGCTCGTCAGCAGCTCGGCCTCCCCCGCTGCTCCCCACCAGCGCCCGGGCTTGGGTGTTTGGTGCTTCCAACTTTTCAAGAGAAGCTTGAAATCTGTAATTCTTATGTGAAATCCTGCCTTTCTTAACTAATTAAAGACTTAAAATTAGCTAGTTAAAATTAATTAAAATTGATTAAATTTGTACTAATTAAAACTAACTGAATTCTTCTCAAAACACCGTGCAGACGAAACCAGTCAGTGACACACCTGTCTGCAGCCATAGCACCAGGAGACATGGGGTGGGGGCCAGGGACATGGCCGGAGCTGCCACAGACAGGACAGAACAGGACGTTGTCAAGCGCTCTGTGGCTGATCTGTCTCTGTTGCACCAAAGTATTTTAAATGTTCTCTCACGTCCTCTGGAAGATCTTGGATGGGGAGAGAGGCGGGGTGGAGGGTGGCATGGGAGTCCTGTGGCCGGGGCTTCCTGGGGGCCCTGCACAGCAACCGGCCTGCACGTGTCTCCTGGGACGGCGACTCAGATGCATGTGTCACCTGGGACGGCACCTCAGACGCATGTGTCTCCTGGGACGGCGACTCAGATGCATGTGTCTCCTGGGACGGCGCCTCAGAGGCCTGGCTACTCCGAGAGGCCTCTGGACACCATGTAACCTCCCCTGGGCTCAGCCCTGGCCTGGCCAGTGCCCTGGTACCAGGACTTGGGCACCAGCCACTGCCTCCCCACGTGTCAGCTCCTTGCACAATGGCACCCGCTGCATGGAGCTGCCCAGGACTCAGGAAGAACGGAGCTGGAGGCTGGGCCCTGGGGCTGCTGAAGCCCTGGCAGCAGGAAGGGATTTGAGATAGAGAACCCGAGGCCAGAGCACTGGGGCTCAGACAGCGGCCCGGGAGATGGGTCTTCCCTATCAGTGGAGACAGACCTTGGCCTCGTGACACCCTGGAGTCCCCGGCTTTGACCCCGTAGCCCGTGCCACATTCTCCTGAGGCTTCTCGTCTGCTCTGGGTGAACCAGGTGCTGGCCTGTGCCTTGTGGCCCCAGCCTGGCCCTGAGCCCCGGGTCCTGCACACCTTGCTGGTAGTCTCTGTCACAGAGACGGTTGGGCCCGGAGGCTGCTGGCATGTGAGTGTCCGCCTGGAGTGTCCTGCTCCAGCCACAGCCCTGCAGTGGTTCATGGCCAGAGCAGAGGAGCGAGGGCTGGGGGTTTGTGCAGTGACCAGGACCAGGGTGCAGGGGCCCAAACCAAGGCCACTCACTGCCCTGAATTGAGCAGAAGGGATGCTCTGAGGCTCCCGGGGAGCCTCAACCCTCCACCACACTCAGACAGTGTGCCTCTCTTGGACCGTGTCCTGCGCTCTGGTGACTCTCGGGGATGCTAGTGAGGAGCTTGTCCCGGCTCAGGCTGAGCCCTCTGCTCAACTAACAGCACAGACGCAGCCCAGACAGTTGCGGAGGGGAAGCAGGTGTGGGGGTGGCCGTGCCCTCGGCACTCGGACTTGGCCTCCTGAGCCCAGTGGCGTGGGGAGTGATAGTGTGATGCTCACCTTTGCCTCCTGCGTGTCTGACGGAATCATTCCTGTTTAGACATGAGCTCCATTCTTCGGAGGGCATGACCAGGAGGCCACCTATTTGGGGATATTTTTAGAGTCATGCCATCCAAGGCAGTCTGTGCCGAGTGGCTCCATATTCAGACAGCGGCGGCATCGTCTCCAAGCCTGGGCTCAGTGGTTAGCACGTCCCGTGCTGACGAGAGACTGGAGGCGGCTTCTGAAAACCCTTCGGGGCCAAGGCTCTCTAGTCGGACTCCACACGGCTGGTGACAGATCAGGCCAGACAAGTGCATGACACCCACCATCCAAGACGACAGGCTGAGACCCCCCAAGTCCAGGTGGGCCACGGCTGGCTGGACCTCAGCTGGGACTCGGACATGCTGGCTCTGCAGCCTGGCCCCAGGGTGTGGGCCTGCAGCTCTGGCTGCTGAGAAATCCCCAGTGGGCCCTTCAATCTTTGAAGGATTCGCCCCATTGTCACTGCAGTGAGACCCCCTGAGAACCCGGGAAGGCAGTGGTGCCGCAGAAGGGGTGCTGGCCGGCGAGCCTTGGGGATCTTCCCAGGGATGCAGCAGGTGGGGCTGTGACCAGGCTGCAGAGGGTGTTTCTTCTTCGTATGTGGCCAGTGTGACTTGAGTTCAGCCCCAGAAATAAATGTGTGAGAGGACTGCGTTTGGTTTGAGCGAGGGCAGGCACAGGTAGGGAGCGGAGCTGCTACAGGAAGCCCTGCGGCTGGGAATCTGAGGGAGTCGGGGCAGCCTTGTTGCCAGGGCAGGACAGAGTACGGCCACCTGGTTGCTTGGAACAAGGTGGAGCTGTGTTCCAATTTCTCAGCACACAGGGAAACACATTTCAGTTAAATTGAATTTTCTTTTTCTTTTTTCTTTTTTTTTTTTTTGAGGTGGAGTCTGGCTAGGTCCCCAGGCTGGAGTGCAATGCTGCAATCTCAGCTGACTACAACCTCTGCCTCCCAGGTTCAAGCGATTCTCCTGCCTCAGCCTCCCAAGTAGCTGGGATTACAGGTGCACACCACCACGCCCAGCTAATTTTTGTATTTTTAGTAGAGACGGGGTTTCACCATGTTGGCCAGGATGGTCTCGATCTCTTGACCTCGTGATCCATCCACCTCAGCCATCCAAAGTGCTGGGATTACAGGCATGAGCCACCGTGCCTGGCCTAAATTGAATTTTCATGTGGAAGTCAATAACTACATAAATTTGGGAATGTCAGTGGCAGAAATCACAAAGGAAAAGATGAGTAGATGTGCTTGCATCCAACCTAAAAACATCTTTAAGTCAAAAAGCACCATGAAGAACTGCCAGCCCCTCAGCTGTGTGGAAACATCGCAACGTTGAGGCCGGGTGAGTGTCGGTGTCCTGGGTCCATCAGGGAATTGCCCCCATCTGTGTATTTAGGTCGGTGAGGTGTCACCACGCACCGACAAGGAGACAAACACACACACTGAAAATGGCCAGGGGTGTGGGCGAGTCCCCCATGGGGACCAGCGGTAGGCAGCATCCTCCGGAGACCACGGGAAGGCCAGGTCTTCCAGCTCCAACTTGCAAAGATTTGCTAAGATTTATATTTTTTTCCAGTTGTTTTTCAGTCTTTATTTTATTGAGGCCCCTGCAGGTACCTGTGGATTCTGATTTGCAGCTCTGTCCAGGGAGCATCCGGCCAAACCTGGAGCCCGGGGCGTGCGGATGGACCTCTGGACGTGGGGCCACACCTGTGCGCGAGTTTTCTCACTTACTGGCTCGGAGGTGGTTCCACATCAGCACACGCAGAGCTTCCGTGTTCCTTATTAACAGCAGTGAAGAACTAGTCATTCAAATGCGCATCATTCCCTCACACAGGGTATTTTTAAGAGAAATTGCTAGACATGGAGTTTGCTGTCAAAATGGCCCCCAGTGTGACAAGCAGATTTATTTTTACTGTGACATCCATTTCTGATGATGATGGGGGCAGACAGCCCTCCACATGGGCAGTGGGCACAGCTGAACCTCAGGCAATCGGCCACAGCCCCAGAGACAGGATCCGCATGTGAACAGACCACCAGCAGGGGCCAAAACGTCGGAAATGCAGCTTACTCTGCAGAAGGCAGCACGTCACACCCCCCAGCTCCCAAAATGTAGGAAACTGGCTCGTGCCAGGTGTGGCTAGAACGTGGGCATAGGGGAGCCCTGGGGTCACTCATGGAGCATAAACCGTGCAGCCTTCCTGGGGAGCGGCCTGGCCCTGAGAGGTGGGGACGCCAGGGCCCGGCAAAGTCCTCTCCAGGATCCACCCCCCAAGGACTCCTCCCACAGCCACACAGGGCCCACACAGGGACGTGCCCACGGCTCAATGAGGCCAGCAGGAGCGGGACACTCCATGTCCATCACCTTGGGAGGGTCAGGCAAAGCGCACTGGGTGCCCACTATGGCCCCCACAGGAGCTAATCCACCATGCAGCAGGGAGGGGTCTTGGAGACGCTATGTGGGAATGGGATGTGGCACTGGCACCCCCGCTAGGGTGCCCACGGTGGCGCCCACAGGAGCTAATCCACCACGCAGCAGGGAGGGGTCTTGGAGACGCCATGTGGGAATGGGATGTGGCACTGGCACCATGGTAGGAAGCGAAATCAGAGTCCAAACAAAGAGACACACACTCCTCCAGAACAGGAGGGAAGAGACAACACCAGCAAGGACGGCCGCACACGGCGGGGCAGGGGAGCGGAGGTTGGAGTTGGGAATGAGGATTTGAAGGACCAAGAAGAGGAATGACAAAGGTGAGGTGCCTTGCGGAGTGGTGACAACAGTGGCCAAGTGCCAATGAGGAGGACGAACCCAATGCTGGGCTGAGGCCAAACAGACAAACAAGAAGAGCAGCACCCAGGCTTGGAGCTGAGGGAGGCCCGAGCCCCGGAGAATCGGCGCTGTCCTCTGAGCTGGCCTCTCTGATGCTGCTTTCTCCATGATAAAGAGGCGCTCTCACGGCTGGCGGAGGGAATGCTCATGGCCTGGCTCAGCCTCAGCTGCTGCTCTTACAACTGCTGTGGTCATTCCCTGCCCTTAGAAACGAAGCTGCTTCCCAGCCACCCATGTGCAAAGGAAGAAGGAAAGAACGAGAATAAACGACCAAGCCTAATCCACTTTCCCTGCCTTGCGAACCACAGTATTTTCTGCTGCCGTGCACTTGGAGAGAGCAAATGTCACCGAGTCTTGTTGAGAAGACAAGAGAGGCAAGAGGTCTGAACAACACCCAGCTGGGGGCAAATGCCTTCAGACAAGCACAACCAAAGTAAAACAGGAACGAGCAATGACCCTAAAAGATGTGCTAGAAATAATTGACCAAGTATAAAATAAATATTTGAGTATTCTATTGCAGTAACTTGCCATGCCATTCACTTGTAATAAATGAACCTCTTTCAAGTTAGAACATGTTGCGTTTGTGCAGCCAGGATTAAATATGGTAGGTCTGGGGCCCGGAGCGTCTCCCGGTGTTCCCACTCCTGGCCTGGTGGGTTCCAGCTGCAAGTGCTGGACTCTGCATTGGAAGTGAGGGTGAGGCCGGGCGCGGTGGCTCATGCCTGTAATCCCAGCACATTGGGAGGCTGAGGTGGGCAGATCACCTGAGGTTAGGAGTTCGAGACCAGCCTGGTCAACATGGTGAAACCCTGTCTCTACTAAAAATACAAAAATTACCCAAGTGTGGTGGCATGCACCTGTAGTCCCAGCTATTTGGGAGTTTGAGACAAGAGAATTGCTTGAACCCAGGAGGCGGAGGTTGTAGTGAGCCAAGATCATGACACTGCACTCCAGCCTTGGGGACACAGCGAGACTCCATCTCAAAAAATAAATAAATAAATAATAAATAATTAAAAAATTAAATAAAAAGTGAAGGTGGGAACCTGCACAGCAAAGAAAGATAAGACTTCCAGGCTGGGTGCAGTGGCTCACGCCTGTAATCCCAACACTTTGAGAGGCCAAGGCGGGCAGACCACAAGGTTAGGAGATCAAGACAATCCTGGCCAACATGGTGAAACCCTGTCTCTACTAAAAATACAAAAATTAGCTGGGCATGGTGGCGGGCGCCTGTAATCCCAGCTATTCAGGAGGCTGAGGCAGGAGAATCACTTGAACCCAGGAGGCGGAG
Organism: Homo sapiens; assembly: GCF_000001405.40. NCBI lineage: Eukaryota > Metazoa > Chordata > Mammalia > Primates > Hominidae > Homo > Homo sapiens. Next base: position 179,293 of record NW_025791815.1, read on the forward strand.
TTTGTAGTGAGCTGAGATCGCGCCATTGCACTCCAGTCTGGCAACAGATCAAGACTCTGTCTCAAAAAAAAAAAAAAAAAAAGACAAATCCAGAAATGCACACTAACTCCAAAGGGTTTCCTTTTAATCTTAAGACAGTTATCAGTCAGAGAGCTCAGGCATGAACCAAAATCTATGTTTGTGGAAAATGATACACAGACAACACTCACCACACAGGTGCATCACACTGACACGACACCACACGCATTCACCACATCGGCATCGTAAAGGGAAGCCCCAGTGACTACGGAACATTTGTGACTGTCTCTGGGAAGTTTTTCAAAAGGCCAGTTCTGAAAACTTCCACTAACAGCCTGGGAGGAACAGAACCTAGACTCACTCTCCCCCATGAAACAACTGAAAAAAACAGGCAAATATGTGAAGCAAAATGTTTTCAGAGCCTGGTCTCCGGCAGCGTGGTGCAGTGCTCCCTGAGAGACGTGAAACAAACGGGTTGAGACCTAGAGCTGCCGGAGCTCATGACCAGGAGAGAGTTTCCAGGATGCAGCACAGGGAAAAGGAATCCAGGCAGAACCACGGTTTCCTACAGCTGAGGAAACACAGCTGGGAGCCTGCTAGGCAAAGATGGCCATAAACCACAGGACGGAGTCCCAGACAGAAAGGAGCTGTACTTACGGTAGATTCCAACAATCCGCAGAAGATCCTCCTCCGGTATCTAGGTGTGAATGGATCAGAGGGGAAGGAGCTGAATTTACGGTAGATTCCAACAGTCCATGGAAGATCCTCCTCCAGTGTCTAGGTGTGAATGGATCAGAGGGGAAGGAGCTGAATTTACAGCAGATTCCAACAGTCCGTGGAAGATCCTCCTCCGGTATCTACGTGTGTACGGATCTGTGCAGGTGTGAGAGGCAAATACTCAAGGCCAGGGAAAGACCATCAGAAAGAGAAGCAGAAGTGACCCTTAGAGCTCATGCACAGGCAGGAATGTTGCCTGTTCCGCCAGTCAGAGCAGAGATCTCATGGCCCATGGGACGTGGAGTGGAGCACTCAGAAGGCTTTGCCACAGTAGGGGAGATAAACTCGTTCTAGGCTAAAAACTGTTCTGACCTTGCCTGAAACGTTCAAAGCAAGCCTCGGGAGAAACAAACTGTTTCCATGTAACTTAATTGCATTCCAGAACAAAGCTCAAGAATATTTGTAGGAAGACAAAAATGTCAATTATTTAACAAAGTAAACTCAGAATATCTGGCATGCAATCAAAAATTAGTGGGCATGCAAAAAAGAAAAAGAAAACGTAACCCAAAATGAGGATATAAATTAATCCATAGAAACAGATCTAGAAATGACAAAGAAGGTAGATTTAGCAGAAAAGGACATTAAAACAATTATTGTAACTATATTTTTATGTTCAAAATGGTAAAGAAAAGAGTGAGTATTAGGAGGAGACACATTGAAGATTTAAAAAAAAAAACACAAATCAAACTTCTAGAGATGAAAACTACAACGTCTGAGGTGAAAAGTACACTGGATGGGATCCCCGCAGATTAGACATTGAAGAAGAACAGATGCGTGAACCTGAAGACACAGCAACAGCAATAGAGACTGTACAAAATAAAACACACAGAAAAAAATACTTAAAAAATGGACAGAGCATCAGTGAGCTACAGGACAACTTAAAGTGCCCTAATGCGTGTGTAATATTAAGGCACTTTAAGTTGTAAAACAAGGATTTGAACAAGGTAAACCCACAAATCCAAGAATCTCAGTAAACCCCAAGCACAAGAAATATTAAGAAAACAACACCAAGTCACATTATAATCTAACTGCTCAAAACTTGTGTTAAAGAGAAATTTCTTAAAACCAACTAGAGGGAGGGAAAACTTCACATACAGAGGAATGAAGATAAGGATAAGGATGGATTTCTGATTGGAAACAATGCAAGTGAGAAGACCATGGAGCAACCTCTTTAAAGTGCCAACAGATTCTTTTTCTTTTTTTCTTTTTTCTTTTTTTTTTTTTTTTTTGAGACGGAGTCTTACTCTGTTGCCAGGCTGGAGTGCAGTGGTGCGATCTCGGGTCACTGCAACCTCCGCCTCCCAGGTTCAAGCAATTCTCTTGCCTCAGCCTCCTGAGTAGCTGAGTCTACAGGCATGCTCCACCACGCCTGGCTAACTTTTGTATTTTTAGTAGAGATGGGGTTTCACCATGTTGGCTAAGATGGTCTCAATCTCTTGACTTTGTGATCCACCCGCCTCAGCCTCCCAACGTGCTGGGATTACAGGCATGAGCCACTGCGCCCGGCCGAAAGTACCAACAGATTTTTAAAAAGTGTTAGAATTCTATACCCGAGAAAAGCATCTTTTAAAAATGGAGGTGAAATAGACTTTTTTAGGAATCCAAAGACTGAAAGATTTCATCAACAGTAGACAAATGTCATATGACATGTTAAAGGCAGTCGTCGGACAGAAGGACAATCTGAAGCTGGACAAAGGAATAAAAAGTATTGGAAATGGAAAATATGTGGACGAATATTAAAAACTTACTTTTAAAATATCCTTAAAAGATAACCAACTGCTTAAAACGAAAAGAAAAAACCTAATGATGTATTGTGAGGTTTAAAAATGTGTGAGGTTGGCCAGGTACGGTGGCTCACACCTGTAATCCCAGCACTTTGGGAGGCCGAGACGGGCGGATTGCTTGAGCTCAGGAGTTTAAGACCAGCCTGAGCAATGTAGCAAAACCCCATCTCTACAAAAAATACAAACAATTAGCCGGGCATGGTGGCACATGCCATAGTTCCTGCTACTCGGGAGGTTGAGGTGGGAGGACCTCCTGTGCCCGAGAGGTCAGGGTGGCAGTGAGCCATGATCGTGCCATTGCACTCCACAATCCAGCCTGGATGACAGAGTAAGAAAGACCCTGTCTCAAAAAAAAAAAAAGTGTGAGGTTTAAAAACGTGTGAGTTTTAAAAATGTTTGACAACAGCAAAAAAGGTGTGAGAGGGGATGGAAAGATGCTATTTTAATATCACATTACTGCGTAAGTTAAAGATACATACTATTTATCTTAAAGCTACAAATAAAAGAAAAAACAAGAATTATAGCTAATAAGCCAACAAAGAAGATAAATGGAATTAAAAACACAATGCAAAAGAAGGCAGAAAAAAGAAAAAATAACAGATGGAACAAATATAAGAAGAAAAGTAAGATAATAGATTTAAACCCAATCATATTAATAATCACAGTCATGTTCTAATTGCCCAAACAATTCAACTGGGGCAGAGATTATATGATTAGATAAGAAAGCCAGACTCAACTTTATGTTGCTGACAGGGAAAAACACTTTAAATATAAATATATAAAATTGGCTTAAAATCAAAAGATGGAAAAATATATACCATCGCACTATTCAAAAGATGGCCAGAGTGGCTATTACAATATCAAAGTAGATATCAGATAAGTAACATTGTAAGAAATAAAGAGGATTTTTTATAATAATAAAGGGATTAGTTCATCAAGAGATCTTAACAACCCTAACCATGTACGCACCTAATAAAGCTTCAAAATACATGAAGCAGAAACAGCTAGAATGTAAGGAGAAGTACACAAACCAACAATTACAGTCAGAGAGTTCAACACCTCATTTCAATAACTGATAGAACAAATTGATAGACAACTTAGTAAAGGCAGACAAGACTTGAAGGATACTATCAGCCAAATTAATATTTATCAAATATGTCACCCAGCAACAGGAGAATACACATTCTTTTCATCTGTACACAAACAATTTACCAAAATAGGCCGTATTCTGGGTCATAAAACAATTCCCGGCCGGGTGCGGTGGCTCATGCCTGTAATCTCAGCACTTTGGGAGGCTGAGTTGGGTGGATCACGAGGTCAGGAGATCAAGACCATCCTGGCTAACATGGTGAAACCCCGTCTCTCCTAAAAAAATACAAAAAAAATTAGCCGGGCGTGTGGTGGGCACCTGTAGTCCCAGCTACTGGGGAGGCTGAGGCAGGAGAATGGCATGAACCCGGGAGGTGGAGCTTGCAGTGAGCCAAGATCGCACCACTGCACTCCAGCCTGGGTGACAGAGCGAGACTCCGTCTCAAAAAAAAAAAAAAAAAAAAATTCCCAATAAATTTGAAGGTTTCACTGCATCATGGTATGTTCTCTGGCCAATCGGAAATATATCAGGTATTAATAATACAAAGATTTCTGAATAATCTCTAAATATTTACAAACTGAAAACAGATATCTGAATAACCCACCAGTCAAAGAAACGACGAACAAGGAAATTAGAAAGTATTTTAAACTGGTTGAAGATGAAAACACAATTTGAGATTCTTTTTCTGCCTTCTCTGGTTTTAACTGAGCATCTTACATGATTCTGTACACATTCCATGTATTTCTTTTCTTTGCATATCAATTTTTATTAAAAAATTTTTAAGGTGTTTTCCTAGAGTTTGCAATATACACTTACAACTAATCTAAATCCACTTTCAAATAACGCTATGTTGCTCCACATACAAGTATCTTGTAACAGAATATTCCCAGTCCTCTCCCATCCCTTACCACATTGCTGTCATTTGTTTTACTTACCTATATGCTATAATCACCCAATATCATTATAATTATTACTTTTAATAAATAGTTGTATTTTAGATCAACTAAGAATAAGGGGGGGAGGATTTTATATTTATTCATCCTCAAACACTTAGTTTCTTTATATAGATTCAAGTTTCTGACCTATATAATTTCCTTCTTCCTAAGGAACTTCTTCTAATATTTCTGGTAGAGCATGTCTGCTGGTGATTAATTCTCTCCATTTTTATTTGTCTGAGAACATTTTTATTTTTCCCTTACGCTGAAGAATAATTTTACTGGATATAGAACTCGAAGTTGGTGGAGTTCTTTCAACATTTTAAATATTTCACTCTGCTCTGTCCTTAGTTAAATGTAGACACAAAAATTCTCAAATTATGCCCAACAACATATAAAAAAGAAACTCCACTGTGACCTACTGGTGTTTATGCCAAGAATGTAAGGTTGGTTTAGCAATGGAAAGTCAATCAATGGAATTCACCACAATAAACATAAGGAAAAATCATGTGGTCAATAGATACAGAAACACATTCCTGATAAATCTTAAAAGCATAAGACTCAGTGAAAGAAGTCAGGCAGAAAACACTACACACTATATAACCCCAATGATGTGACATTCTGGAGAAGGCAAAACCATTGTGCTAGTAAAAAGATCAGTGGTAAAGAGTTTGTGGGAAGGGCTGGAGGACTGAATAGCTAAAGCACGGGAGATTATTTAGGGCAGTTATTCTGTATGATAGTGTATTGGTGGATATGTGATATTATAAACTTATCAAAAACCTGTGAAACTTTACAGTACAAAGAATACACCCCATTGTATGCAAATTTAAAAACCATTTAGGAAGCTCAAGGACCTCAGGATGGAATCCAGAATGTGACAAAACCATCTAACTGTATTACAAACGCATGGAACATCCTCACTGAAGGGAGTGGGGGAACAGCACTGACCTAGTTCAGAATGAGTGGAGTCTTTAAGACTAAAGGCAAAGGAACAGTACGTAAGCACTGGACTCTAGCTGACAAAGTTGTCTCCCAGTGAGGTGTGAATTAACAGTTCTGACACTACCATAATATTGTCTTAGTCTGTTTTCTGTTGCTATAACTGAATGCCTAAGACTAGGTACTTTATAAAGAAATCTATTTCTTACCATTCTGGAAGCTGGGAGGTCCAAGGTCAGGCGGCTGCATCTGGTGAGGGCCTTCTTGCTAGTGGGGACCCTCTGGAGAGTCCCAGGTGGCACAGGGCATCAGATGGTGAGGGTCTTACAAGAGATGGCCAGACTCGCTTTTACAACAGACCCATTCTTCTGAGAAGTAACTCACTCACTCCCGGCATAACCCATTCATCCATGAACTGATTAATCCAATCACCTCTCAAAGGTCCTGCCTCTCAACGCTGCTTCACTGGGGATCAAGTTTCAACACACGAACTTTTGGGGAACACATTCAAACCACAGCACATGTATACTGAAAATTGAACAATTAAATACATGGATAGCAGATGGTAGGAGCCAGGTTTCTCACTATTAGGAGGTTACAGAAGCAAGAGGAGGCAGCTGGGATGACCCACATGGTGCTAGATTTGAGTTGGAGACATTGGTATGAACTGATGTTTAGCCCTGTATAGATTTCTACGGCTACCTAGAGAAGTATTTTAGATATGCATATATACATGGTTAATATATGCACATATATTTTCTCCTCTGTGAGCTGAGAGGGTTTGGCAGCAACAACACCTCAATAGCTATAAGCACATCTCATGCTCAGATCTCGGTTTCCAATATGCTTCTTCAATGAAAGGAACCAGGGTTCCTTGGAGAACTGGTGGATTCCAGAGCTGGGGCCAGTAATATACAAGATGAGACTAGAACATCTTGTACTAAAATGTAGTAATAAAATGCCAAAACAAACCTCAGATTGATGGGCTATGTCAAAGGGCTACAGGAGTTGACTGGAAGAGCTCCTAACGGGCAATGCTGGAACAGTGTGAGCAACAAAATCAAGAAGTGTTATTGCACTGTGACCCAAGTGTAAATACCCACAAGTCCACGCCAATCTAAATAAAGGATGCAATAACATATCCACAAATAAATGAAGGAGAAGAGACAAATCTGCATGGAGGAATGACAAATAATTTATGTAGACACTCTGCCTCAGAGGGGGCGTAACTCCCCAGTTCTTGCGTGCAGGCTGGGCACAGCAACTTCCCTCCAAGACGGACTGTTCCGGAAGGGGAAAGAACACTCTCAGCAAGGAAGCGGACAAGCTGTCTTAGCCAGGTGATGAAAGTCCTCATCAATGGTGACAATCATGCTGGTCATACGGATCCTTGACATGATTGTCTGAAGATGGTGGGTTACCTCAATGGTCTTCTTTCAAAACCCCATATTCCCAGTTTAATCATGAGAAAACCTCAGACGCCAGCAGATCCCAACTGAGAGACACTCTGCAGAATACCTGCCCAGTCCTCCTCAAAACTGACAAGGCCATCGAAAGTAAGAAAAGCTTGAGAAGCTGTCACAGCTAAGAGAAGCCTATGGGGACGAGATAACTAAACGTAGCATGGGATTCTGAACAGGATCCTGGGGCAGAAAAGGCGCCTTAGAGAAAAACTAATAATATCTGAATAAAGTGGGGACTTTGGAGAGCGACAATGTATCAGTATTGGTTCATGAATTGTAACAAATGTATCCTAGTAATGGAAGATGTTTATGAGGGAAACTGTGGGTACCAGGTATGTGGGAACTCTCTGTACCATCTTCACAATTTTTCTGTAAATCTGAATCTGTTACGAAGAGTACTTTAAGGTGGCTCACACCTGTAATCCTAGCACTTTGGGAGGCTGAGGTGGGTGGATCACTTGAGGTCAGGAGTTCAAGACCAGCCTGGCCAATATGGAGAAGCCCCATCTCTACTAAAAATACAAAAATTAGCCAGGCATGGTGGCGGGTACTTGTAATCCCAGCTACTTGGGAGGCTGAGGCAGGAGAATTGCTTGAACCAGGGAGGCAGAGGTTGCTGTGAGCTGGGATCGCGCCACTGCACTCCAGCCTGGGTGACAGAGACTCCATCTCAAAAGAAAAAAAAAAGGATTTAAAAATAAATAAAAGGAAAAACTACACTAGAAAAAATAATAAACAGTTTAGTTATGGCAAATAAGCACATGAAAGAGTGTCATTATTCATGAGGGAAACGGAAATTAAAACCCGGTAAGATGGCTGGGGCGCAGTGGCTCACGCCTGTCATCCCAGCACTTTGGGAGGCCAAGACGGGCGGATCACGAGGTCAGGAGATCAAGACCATCGTGGCTAACATGGTGAAACCCCGTCTCTACTAAAAATACAAAAACTTAGCCGGGTGTGGTGGCGGGCGCTTGTAATCCCAGCTACTCAGGAGGCTGAGACAGGAGAATTGCTTCAACCTGAACCTGGAAGGTGGAGGTTGCAGTGAGCCGAGATAGCACCCACTGCACTCCAGCCAGGGCAACAGAGCGAGACTCCATCTCCAAAAAAAAAAAAAAAGAAGTAAATGACCAATCCGCATGACTTGGTGAAGGAGTGACCGGCCCGTGCAATGCTGTGAATAAATGTCAAAGCAATTGTGCTCATGACTGAGGCCAGTCTAACAACAGAGTCTTGCTCTGTCATCCAGGCCGCAGTGTGGTGGCACAATCTCGGCTCACTACAACCTCCACCTCTCTGATTCAAGTGATTCTCCTGCCTCAGCCTCCCCAGTACCTGGGACTACAGGTGTGCACCACCATGCTTGGGTAATTTTTGCAATTTTAGTAGAGACAGGGTTTCACCATGTTGGCCAGGCTGGTCTCGAACTCCCTACCTCAGGTGATCCGCCCGCCTCGGCCTCCCAAAGTGATGGGATGACAGGTGTGAGCCACTGTGCCTGGCCCCCTGAGTCCATTTCTATACAACTCTAGAAGGTGGAGATCCATCAGTAGCTCTGGAAACAGACCGACAGCTGCCTGGGGACAAGGGAGCAGTGTAAGAGAATCTGAGGCGGAGGAAGAGATTTTGGGGTAAATATGTTCATGACCTAGATTTTAGTGACAGTTTCAGAAGTGCCTACGTATCATATTGTGTACTTTAAATGTGTGCAGTTAATCTGTGCTCTCAATAAAGCGAAGCCAGGGTGCGGGAAGCAAGTAGGAACCCCAGAGTTGGAAATATGGGTTTTAGAGTAAAGTCTGTGGATTGTTGGTGTTACAGAGGGACCACAGCACTGTCTTTAGCATTCACCCCGGAAGTGTGTGGGTTTTTTCTGGAGTTTAAAATGATTAATTCTCCAGTCTATAAACACAGACCGTCCACAGTGGCACATTCCAACAGAAGCCCTGTCATCGGAGCGGATTTCATTTCACCCAATCTTGTTACACAACAAACAGCTTGCATTGAATAAGTCATAATTTTTAAGACAAATATGTCTTCTAAATTCTCTTAGAAAGCGTCTCATGTTTAAAAAATAACACTGCTAATAGCTGACTTCTCCTCAGCAGGCTGAGTGGAAACATGCCCCGCTGAACTTCTTGGCAGGAAGATGGCAGCCCAAGTTGCTGTCCTGATGGGGGGAACACATTTGGTCTCCAGCACTCAGATGGAAATTTCCAGAGACCTTTTTATCCCTTCGTCACATCTTTAATTTTTCAAATAGGCCTCTCTCTTGCTCCAGTTGCCAGGTTAACAAAGCTGCCAAGGCCAAGCAGAAACTGGCAAGCGTCCCCAGAGACGCATCTTAGTCTTCAACATAAACCAGACCTGATTCCGCCCGCTCTGCTGTCTCCAGCCACCTCCGTCCACGGGCAGCCAGCACAGGCACCTGGGAGGCCTAATCGGATCGCGGCTCCCGGAGGGTCACTAATCAGATTGTTTTGCCTGCCGTGTTCCTGTCAAAGCGAATGTGCAGCGTTTCCAGACGGACGCTCTCTTTAAAAGCACACGCTCCCCTCCTCACTCCAGTTAGAAAAAAACGGAGTGTGCAGGTGCATTGTGACTCATGAAATCGCTCTTCGCTCAAAGGTCTGTTAACAGACTTTGTTTTGGGTCAGATTCGGTTCTACAAACTGCTACCTGTGACCCTGACAGCATGATTTACTCTCTCTGGGCCCCAACCTCCCGCGCCCTGTGGTCGAAGCGTCCCCTTCCTATCTACCATCGTGGGGCTCTTCGGACTCTGATTCGGTGTTTCTACAAAGTACACGAAAAAGAGACCGTTTATTTTCTATCGTGTGAAAGAAAGAAGCAACTGCAGAGGACACCAGCAAGGCTGCAGGTCTTGTGTGGGTCCCTGCAGCTTTCCTTCCAGGGAGAACAGGTAAAAGTTTCCTCCAGCATGAACGTCCAGCTGTGCAAAAGTCAAAGGCCAGCTATTAGGTACAGCAGACAGAGCAGCCCCAGGGACTGCTGTGAGAGGAGGGAGGAGACTTGAACCCTGGGCTGAGAGATGTGTTGGAGGATGACTTAACACTGTGGAAAGGACAGAAGCTGGCGAAGAGGGAGGAGACTTGAACCCTGGGCTGAGAGATGTGTTGGAGGATGACTTAACACTGTGGAAAGGACAGAAGCTGGCATGGGGGGCTGGAGGAGGCAAGGCCCTGGCTCAGCCCTGAAGTCGTGACAGCTTGTGGCCAGCCCGATGCCTGGTTCCTACCTGGGGAGGGGGCTGCATGGAGTCTGGGTTTGCAGGCCAACTGCCTATTCTTAGGGTGCAGCGACTTCCCCGTTATGCTGGGTGCGCACACTCCCCTGCTGGAGGGGTGCCCTGATGCTCTGAGCCAGTCAGCACAGCCTCCTCACT